>NC_000012.12:33955931-34108626 GCF_000001405.40 Homo sapiens
TTTATTCAGACTGACTTGGTGGTGAGTGTTTTATTTATTTACAGCACAAATCCCAACTTCAGAAGAAAATGGGTTACACACTTGCCTGGGTATGTACTGACTAAAGAGAAAGGCTTTTTACAAGCTCATTCTAAATATGAATTACAGAGTTTCCTATGGAAATAAAGAAACAGGCAAAAAATCTTTATTCAGTAAAAAAAGATGGCTTTTGTTTGGTGGGGAAGTAATAATAAACAATGGCATCAAGTAGGATCTGTAGGAATTGGCCTAACATTTAAATACCTGGAGAAGAACTATAAATATTTAACAAGAAAATGAAGATAGGAAACAAAAGTATTGTTACTACTATCATGTTATGCCCATAAGTTTTTAGGCCTAAAAATTTGGGATACTATATAAGAATCTTTGTTTTCCTCACTTATAACTATTTATATATTTAATTTGTTCAACATATTTATAATAAATAAGAGCTTAGTGTAGTTCTTTGTAATGGACCTGTATACATAAAAAAGATTCCCTTTGTACCTTCAAGCATTTAGTATGTTTGTAGATGAGAAACTAAATATACAAACCAACAATGGCCAATCCGTATATAAAAATAGAACTCTGACCCTCAATCTGCAGTAACTAGCCCAGGAAACAAACTCCTTACCTATAATAAACAGCTTAGGATGCCAACCTACTATATGCAAGTCAGGCTTGTAAGAAATCAGACCACTATTCACAGTAAATGGTCCAGGAAGCCAAATGATAACCTTGTTAACAAGTGGCCCCAAATGCCCTGGACTTGATTAATAATCGATGGCTTCCCCAATTTTTGCATGACTTTAGGACCGTCTAGAGGCATCCAAATATGTTCTCCAAGCCAATCACATAGGATGCCTCACTTCTAGTTTATCCCACCTATGGCTTTTCCACGCCAGAACCCCTAATCAAGGCACACCTGAAGGCTTTCCTTTTCCCACTATAAAGCATTCCTATTCCTTTGCCTGCCTTTGAGTCTGTACCAAACACTGCTGATGGTAGCTGACTCCATTGCTATAGCAAGCTCAGGATAGCCTTCGCTTGTTCTCATTTGTTCCCACTCTGGTAAGACTAAAATATAAATCTTTGATCTGGTGATTTATTGAATGCCGTTTATTAGTAAACTTTTCCAAAAAGGGGCTGTTGTTAATAGGTTTTTCTAGGCAAACAAAAGTATACAATTTAGCCTCCTCACTATACACTTATTGTCTTTTATCCTCAGACAGCACTTTTATTCCGCAAGCAACCATTTTAACCCTTGTCCTGAATGTAGCAAGAATACTCGCCAGCAGTGCTTGCAACTGCAGCATTTACGTAGAGATAACTTTGCCATGAAATATCTCGCTTTTATTATTATTTTCACGTTCCTCTGGTATATCAACTTTGGAAACAAAAGACATCATTCTGTTTATAGCATTCTGTGTTTATTAGTGGTCTGTCCATTTATAAAAATATAGTAATTCTCGATCGCTGAAAATGTCAAATCCTAAAAAATGTCGCATGCCTACATGTTAACATCATTCTCAAACATTTGTTGGCTGAAGATTCATTTGATGAATCCTATTTTACCGAAATAAACAATTCTGATGATTTAGATGATTCTGATGTTAGTTCTGTTTAGAAATAACTCCAAGAGCATTTTTATATTTTATTTTCACATTGAAAATCAGTCAGATTTGCCTCAGCCTTGAAGAGTAGGTTTATGTAAAATTAAATGAGTGCTGGCAGTAAGCTGTACTTTTTTTTTTCTAAATGGGAAAGGGGTTAAATTTAAAATATGTCTATTTGTTTAATTATTATCTTGCAAAATATAGTACAAAAAATAAATATTCTTTCAGTGAAATCTTTTTAAATTTATACAAATTGTATTTATCATCTTACCTTGCATTTATCCCTTTTATGGGTTCCAAATGACCACACAATTTTATTGAATCTCACATTACATTTCCATTTTTACATCTTGCTATTTCTCTACTGTCACAATTTTTTTTCTTTTTAGGGGTGAAAATGCCTTTAACTTCTTTACCTGGCAAAAATGACATGTCCTTCAAGGTACAATTAACATGCCATGTTGTTCATGAAAACTTCATGGTCACTAACATAAAAAATGATTTTCAGTTTTCCTGAACTTCTATAATGCTGGTTTCTCTTATAAAATATTTCCTTCTCTTGAAATTATTATTCTTGGCTTTCCCCTATTACTTGGAGCTCTTTAAGGGCTGTATCACTATTAAGTGCTTAAAATATAAAGATAAATTAGACAACCCACTAGTCTTTGAGGCACTCACACTCTAATGAGGATATTTATGTGTGTTCTGTATAATTAACAATATTATGATATGATGAGTTCTAAAGGCTCACAGAGAAGAATAACGAATCCTACCTGGCAGGAGTTTGAATATGCTTTAAAGAGAAGATAAATGTAGGCATCCTGCCCTACATAAACTCTTCCTAGCCATGCATCCTTTTCTTCCCATCAAGAGGTGGCCCTGAAGATATGTTTGAGTAAATATCTATGCTTCTCCTAGCCAAGGCTGATCCTACAGGAGAAGCTTGGCCCAAGCTAGAGTAATTTGACAATGTTTTCAAAAAAAACAATACTTCGGAAATAAAAATTCTAAACCATTATGTTATTAACTAAATTGAAAGAATACAAAGCCTGTGGTAGCTATTTTCCATCATGTACATGAAAAAAAAAAAGAACCCAATTTCAGAGAGATAGAAGAATGAAGCCTACACTGAAGGAAAGATAATAAAATGACATTTAGCTTCACAGAAAGAGACAAGGAGAGTGAGAAAAAGAGTTTTGATTCCAGGCTATTTTCCAATTTCTGACTCTAGTCCTCCTGAAGCTTAACTGCAGTTCTCGCCCTTAGGTTCTGTTTGATAGCCTTGTATGTCCTTCCATTAAATTCACAGTTTTTATAAAATTTAGCTTAAGGTGATCTCTGGTACTGCATCCAAACAATCTCTGACTAAGACAGCTATGTAATAAAGGGTAAATAACAATTTGACAGATATAAAAAGGGAAAGGGCAGGACACTCCAACAAAAGGAAAAATTACCAAATATATGGAAATATGAAGTTTATGTTTGAGAATTATCAAGTAGGTCAGAATAGTTAAAACATGTGATGACTGACAGCATCGTTGAAGCCTCATTAAAAACACACTTAAACATCTTACTAACGAACTTGGACATTATCCCAACAGCAGTGGAAAAGAGAATGTGGAAACATTTCAACACAGATGTTAATAAAAAAGCCTGCAATTAAAATAGATTAGGCTCCCTGACTGTTACTCTGTGGCCTCAGATGACTTTCTTCCTCTTTATTCTCCTCCTCCAATTAATGATAGTAATAATAATAATAGGCAATACTAGTAGCTAATATTTATTTAGTACTTACTTTGTGCCAAACAACCTAGTAGTTATTTTATATGTACTATCTGATTTCCTTATAGGAGCCCTGAGCTAGGGACTATTATTATCCTCATTGTATAGTTAAGAACAATGAAACACAGACAAATTAAATAACTTGTCTTATGCCACTAGCAGGAAGTTCATATTTAGAGAGTATCCAAGAGAAATCTTTGGTTTAGTTTCAGGTTTTGGGTTTGTTTCCAACCTTGTTTCTTCCTTCTATATATTCCTTGTTTTTCACTATTATTATAAAATTAAGCCAAAAACATTAAATATCAAAAGCTCTACTGAAATTGTTGATTAAAAGTCTTAATCTGTACTGAGAACACCTGTAATGAATACTCGCCAGCGGTGTTTGTAGCTGCAGCATTTACCTAGAGATAACTGGTGGTAGGAAGCAGCACACACACACACACACACACACACACACACACACACACAAACACCCCCCCCAACACACACACACAAACACCCCCCCACCACACACACACACACATTTTAGTCTCCAATATCTCTATTAGGGGTTTATATGTGTAATCTCTGCAAATAATCCTTTCACGCAAGATAATGTTTACAAATGTCAGGCTCTCTTTTCTTTTAACCAAATTTTGTATCATCAAAGCCACATCCTCATTTTGCAAAACTAGAACCAGTTTTGACCAGTTTCTAAGCATTTCTGAGAAATATCTCTGTATCCAGTTTCCAAGGCCCTAAAAAGTATATTGTCTTGAATTTGGTACTCTTTTTTTTGTTTGTTTTGTTTTTTTGTTTTTGAGATGGAGTCTCACTGTGTCGCCCAGGCTGGAGTGCAGTGGCGCGATCTCGGCTCACTGCAAGCTCCGCCTCCCGGGTTCACGCCATTCTCCTGCCTCAGCCTCCCGAGTAGCTGGGACTGCAGGCGCCCGCCACCAAGCCCAGCTAATGTTTTTGTTTTTAGTAGAGACAGGGTTTCACCGTGGTCTTGATCTCCTGACCTCATGATCCACCCGCCTCGGCCTCCCAAAGTGCTGGGATTACAGGCGTGAGCCACCGCGCCCGGCCTGAATTTGGTACTCTTTTATGACCTGGATGATTCTGACAGTGAGTGGTCTGATGACTACAATTATATATTCATTTTCTCCAACAATAATAGCTGCAAAACATTAAAAAAAAAAACTTCCTGCTAGTCATAAATTTTGTTCTTCTGACCCCCAAATAATCCTGACTCCTCTTGACCTACATATATAATTGACATGAAAATTGTCACAACCAATTGAGTGGTAGATAGGGCATTGCACCCAGGAGAGTCTTACCTTCATAGCTAGGCTGTAACTTATAGAAATAACATTAGAAGTTGATCTTTTGCACCAACTGTGGTTAGTATTGCCTAGAATACAGTCCTGTACTAAGTATCACAGCTTAGATAAACAGAAGAAAGCTTATTTTGTTACCAAATTGTATTTCCTGCAAAACTGGCTTCACGTTACCAAGTTGGCTCCTTCTCTAGGTCTTCCTTGGTGATCCCTAGACTATTCAGTTGAACTGGGATATAGAATAAGTGGACATTCAGAATTAATGAGAGGTTATTACATTAATAGCCTTTGCTAGCTTCATCATCCCTTTCAATGTAGCATGCAGGGCTGCAGGAGTTTTGAATTCAATTCATGAAGCTACTAATAGTATCCATTGCCTAATTGTAGTATAGATCATCAAAGGGAACTTAAGTCTGAGAAAGGCCCTTTCTGGCACCTTCACCCAAAAGCCCATGCCTATAATCAATAGATGTAATCAATGGGAATAAAATGGTTCTATATAGCATTTATAAAACTTATCTCAAGGTTCAATCCTATATTAACCTACTTATTTCTGTCTCCCTAATAAATGAGTCCACCCAGACTGTACCTAAAAGTCTCACACATTCAAATACATTGAATATTTAACTATATTGTCAGATAATCCCTATGTACTATGGCAGTGCTAGTTTATAGAAGGAACAATTGAATAGCCCATTTTATTAACACATTTAGCCATAGGTGTTGGGTTACATGTCATGAAAATTTAAGGTACTTCTTTTACACCCAGTTTTATACTGCCTTACTAGTGAAATGAATATCCTGGTTGGAAGAAGTGTAAGTTTTATATCTTTATTGTTTCAATTGTTCTCTAACAATATTCCCCATTTCTATATCTTCTTTATCTGTAATCCTTTGTGGTGATAACTGGGGTGGCATGAGCTAGTCTGAATCCTAAATAGAGAATTTAGGGCTCTGTCTTCTGTATCAGTCAGAGCCCAGTGAGGAAACATAAACTACACTAGTTATTTGTATAGAAAAAATTTAATATATAAAAACACAATAATTAGGATTCGTTTTCAACAGAGTAACTGAAAAGGAAAAATAACAGTGAATTATCAGGGGGATAGCAGTGATAGGAGGCAGCAATCATCCCTAAGACTGAAGAAACAAAGGCAGAAGTTTAAGATTAGTAAAACTTCAAACTGAGGATAAAGACACCTGCAGATTTAAAACACAGAGCTTTGAGGATGGCATGCTCACCTGGTGCTGGTTTCTCTAAACACCAGAAGGTGTTTAGAGGAGGGACCCAACAGCAACTTTGACTCAGACCTCTGAAGAGGGGGTGCCTGTAAACTTACTCTGAAGGTAGTTCTTCAAATTAAAGAATATTTGCAAATTAGACGCCTCTGCTGCTATGAGAAGGAATTGTACTCCTGGAGTGAAAAATCATTACTAGAATGAAACACACAGGAAAAGAAAGCAGTCATGAAGCAGATAAATGCACAGGGAGGAGCAAGTTTCTTCTTCTTCTTCTAGGCTTTCAATGTCTCTCTAGCACACCCTATCAACAAAGCCTAAAGAATACCAGTTAGAAAAGTAGAATTGTGGTGTATAGAGATTGAGCCCTAGTGAAATAGAGTATGGAACAGTGTGTTTGGAGCTCAGAGACAATAGCTTCATGAATGGCACTGCTGTTCCCTTGTCTAACGGTCCCTCCTGGCCCTATGGGTTTCATACCGGTTAGATTTACACTGGTCCCTATTTCTGTTAACAAATAAAGCACAGTTTTAGAATCGTATCATTAGTGAAGAGAGATAGTGTGACTTGTTTTCCTATTTGGATGATTTTATTTCTCTTGTCAGATTGCTCTGGCTAGCATATCTAGTGCTATGTTGAATAGGAGTGATGACAGTGAGCATTCTTATCTATTCTAGATCTCTGAAAGGGGAATGCTTTCAGTTTTTGTCTGTCCAGTGTGATGTTGGCTGTGAGTTTGTCATAAAAGGCTCTTATTGTTTCGAGGTATGTTCCTTCAATGCCTATTTTCTTGAGGGTTTTTTTTTTAATCATGAAGAGGTGTTAGATTTTATTGAAAGCTTTTCTGTATCTGTTGGGATGATCATATGGTTTTTGTTTTTAATTCTGATTATTTGTGAATCACATTTATTGATTTGCATATATTAAATCAACTTTGCAATTTATGAATGAAGCCTATTAGTCTGTGGGTCTATGGTAAATTAACTTTGTGATATGCTGCTGGACTCAAGTTTGCCAGTATTTTGTTGAGGATTTTTGCATTTACATCCATCAAGGGTATAGGCCTGTATCATCATCAGGTATATTTGAAGAACAGAAATACATTTTTTAAAACTCATGATAATGGGATGACATCTTTAACACTTTTCCCATTTAGAAAAAAAAGTGCAGCTTGCTGCCAGAGTTCATTTAATTTTACATAAACATGCTCTTTGAGGCTGAAGCAAATCTGACTGATTTTCAATATGAAAATAAAATGTAAAAACTGTTCTTGGAGTTATTTCTAAACAGAACTAACATCAGAATCATGTGAATCATCAGAATCATCTATTTTGGAAAACTGGATTCATCAACTGAATCTTTGGCCAACAAGGATATTGGCCAGCATTATCATTGGATGATGCCTGCTTCACAGAAGGAGCTAGGGAGGAGTTTCTCTTCCTTAGGAATAGTTTCAGTAGAATTGGTACCAGCTCTTTTTTGTACATCTGGTAGAATTCGGCTGTGAATCCAGGGCCTTATTTGGTTCATAGGGTTTTTTAAATTATTATTACAGATTCAATTTTGGAACTTGATATTGGCCTATTTAGAGTTTCAATTTATTCCCGATTCAATCTGTGGAAATTGCATGTTTCTAAGAATTTACCCGTTTCCTCTAGATTTTCTAGTTTGTGTGCATAGAGGTGTTTTGTAATAGTCTGAGGATCTTTTGTATTTCTGTGTATTCCTCAATTGTGATAGAACATTGGATTGTCTTTTGTTAACTCAACATCATCTTCACCCCTGCTAGGAATCCTTCTAAATAAATTTCCCAACATCTTCTTCCCTATGTGGTTCTATGTTAACATCTGTCAATGAGAAACCATCTCACACTGTTTAGAAGATGTGACTAAAAGAGACAGTTGCAGGCAGACAAGTAGGCAGATGGCAGTTATATGATTTTCTGACAGTCTCCTGTGAATCACTCACTACAGTTTAGCTGAAACATATTATAGTAAATTTTTGTTAATCACTTGAGTTGGTTCTGCAAATTAAGATAGTCAGTGGGAGGCTCCCAGAGGTTCTTAAATTCCCAGCAATTTCTAGGTGAAATCCACCTCAGAGTTCAAATTGAGATCATCTTTTCTGAATTCTGATTCCTCATCCTAGATAGCAGTTATATATGCCTCTAATTTCATGTGTTACAATTCTTTGTAATTACAATATAGAATGTTTTCCATTTTCTTGCCTGAAGCCTGACTGATATACATAGACAAGACTCAATATTTTCACTACCAAAAATTAGTCCCATGCAAAATTTGGCTCTGTTATTTCTGGGAATACCTAAAATTGGATCTTAAGAGCATGTAATAGATACGGTCACTGCAATGTATCATGTATGACACATACATTTCCATAATCCCATTTTACACCTTGTAAAGACAATTGGAAAAGCTTAAGCACTGTCACTGCCCATGAAGACAAGGAATATTATCCATCCTCAAGAAGATTTTCATGTACGCTCTCACCACATATGTCATTTTCACCCAGAGAAAGGTAGAAGAGCCTCCTCCCTAGGTTTGAGACACACTTTTCCACTGGAGCTCTTCTTGTACCCAGAGTTTTACAAATCTCTCTGAACACTCTCATGAAATTATTTCCTTCCAAGAATCTCACCAAATCTCTCACGAAAAAAAAAGTTATTTCCTTTAACCAGATGACTTCGTTTGCAGTACTGGATTGGGGAGACGCCATAATATCTGCATAGTCCTCCTCCATTTCATTTTTCCTCCCACCCACCCCCACCACAAAAATAAATTTGTTTTACCTGGTAACCAATGATCCTTTTATCATATTAACCAATGCAAACCTCACAGGATGTTAAAATGGTATTTTTCTTGTCTCCATGTTAGCTGAAGCATAAAGACAATACACATACCTTCCAAAATGACAGCATTTTACTGCACTTTTAAAGTGGATAAAAGAAAAAATAATTCTTAACTCCATCATTTACATTGAGGACAAAAAGATTCCTAGAAAATTTATAAAGAGGGTATTTGGAAGTGGTTATTGCTGTGTGGGAAGCTTCAGTCTGCTCCTTGTCAAAGTGAAGGGCTAGGATTGGGTTTCCTTTTCTTCATCCAAGCCTAGCGTGGAGGCCATGAGGATGTGCACTGTAAACTTCCAAACTAAGAGCCCAGTTTCTGTATACTGAAATCTATTGTGTTACCCTCAGGCAACAGCCTAGAATTAGAAGAATACTGTGGCCAACCCATTACAGATAAATATGGGACTTCTCTGATAGCCAGCTTTGGCTTACAAGTTCCTCCAACAGCCTTTGCTGAGCTTTCCTTAGACTGCACTGCAGTCTAGGACCCTTCCAACTTGGCTTCCTTCCTCTCTTTTTCACTAAGAGTCAGGCTTTTATTGCAGGTATGAAACTTTCTCAGCCTTCTCCAACTCCCTCCCATGTTATCTCACAGACATCTTTGTTAATAATATTCTTGCACATTTAATCCCTTCTTGGCATATGCTTCTTGGAAGATCCAAACTAATTTAGGTGGCAGTAGCAGCGTAACAGATGGCTGACCTGACTTACCTACTGCCTGCCAGGTGAAGATTCTGTCTTGGTAAGTGGGGCATATGGCTAATCTCTGGAGCAAAGTGATGGCTCAATTGCTAAAACTTTCACAACCAATGACAACCTGGGAAAATGTCCCAGTGTATGGGAATGCTGTGGCAAGCGTAATGATGCAGGTACTTGAAAAATGGAGGGCTGCAGGGAGGTAACAAACAATGCATACAAAAATAATGGAGTTGACTGGTTACTGCTAAATTATGTTGACACCCTGCAGAAGGATAATGGGATTCTGAGGGTTTTTAGCAAGCACTTTATGGCTAATTATGAAAGCCAAAAAGTCCCCGTGGTGGCTTATAAGGAGGTCATTATTTCCAACAGTAGAAGAATATATAGTTGAGCAGCAGGCTCAAGGCCTCATTAACAATGAACTCTGGAGCTTCTGTGATGTTTAAATGCTCACTAAATCAGGTCTGTTATGCAAAGTTTATCTACCTCCTAGAGAAAGGCTGAGATCTTGAAACATGGGACAAGTATATCCGGTTAAATGTCCTGAGTACATTGACTCTAACTCCCCTGGATCTTTGGGGCTTGCAGAAGTACCTCACTCTTCCCTAGTAATTGCTAGTACTTCCACTTTCCCAAATGGCAATAGATCTCTCCATTCCCAGGAGCTGCTCTCACATCCTCTCCGGTTACCAGGCTAATAACTGACATTAAATCTCTGTGTAACCTGGCTAGAAATGTGCTAAGCCTGGTATTGAGAGGTGAAGCTGGCTGGGCTTCTGGGTCAGGTGGGGACTTGGAGGACTTTTCTGTCTAGCTAAAGGATTGTAAACACACCAATCAGCGCTCTGTGTCTAGCTAAAGGTTTGTAAATGCACCTATCAGCACTCTGTAAAAACGTACCAATCAGCACTCTGTAAAAACGCACCAATCAGCACTCTGTAAAAATGCACCAATCAGCACTCTGTAAAAATGCACCAATCAGCGCTCTGTAAGAACGCATCAATCCGCACTCTGTAAAATGGGCCAATCAGCACTCTGTAAAAAGGACCAATCAGTAGGAAGTGGGAGGGCCAAATAAGGGAATAAAAGCTGGCTACCTAGTGCCAGCAGCGGCAACCCACTGGTGTCCTGTACCACACTGTGGAAGCTTTGTTCTTTCGCTCTTCACAATAAATTTTGCTGCTGCTCACTCTTTGGGACTGCACTATCTTTATGAGCTATGACACTCACTGAGGTCTGTTGCTTCACTCCTGAAGTCAGCAAGACCATGAGCCCACCAGGAGGAACAAACAACTCCGGACGCACCACCTTTCAGAGCTGTAACACTCACTGCAAAGGTCTGTGGCTTCACTCCTGAAGTCAAGCGAGACCATGAATCCACCGGAAGGAAGAAACTCCGGACACATCTGAACATCTGAAGGAACAAACTCCAGACACACCATCTTTAAGAACTGTAACACTCTCTACGAGGGTCCGTGGCTTCATTCTTGAAGTCAGCGAGACCAAGAACCCAGCAGAAGGAACGAATTCCGGACACAGTATGGGATGTAATAAACTATACATTTAAAGAATTGCAAAAGTTAGCACATATTTACCAATAAGTGATAACAGGGCACTCCTGGCATTGGATTTTGAAGATTCTTTATCAAAGGGGCCAGATGTAAGACTGGATACACAAAAAGTCATTGATTTGGGAGCACTTTCTTAGGACACAGGACTCAACAGCCTAGCAAAGATCCCAGGGGATGGAATAAACTGCCAGGTTCTTATAGAATTGCTAATTAAAATGGTCACATTCATGGGCATAATGGGCCCCCAAATAATAGAAGCCAGGAGGCTGCAATTACCATAATCATCAGTAAACCTGATACATTTTCCTTGTGTTTGGAGGGTGAGTAGACTGATGTCTTACTCCCTATGAAAAATCTAAATGGCAAGAGAATGGTTGGCTAGGATATGATGGATAAGCTGAAAGAGAGGTAACTTAATTGGGCAGGCTACACAAGTAGAGCTTGTTATAACAATAAAACACAAATATTTTCTATTGACTAGGTGTGGACCACCATAAAAGACATAGCCAGAGTGAAATCAGCTTAAATCTTGGCCAGCAGGACTTCCTAGAAAGTGCAGAGACCTCAGCAAACAGAAGCTGAAAGTATTTCCATTGCATAAAGGCTAAGAAAGAAAGAAGTGACAATCCAGAAGAGAAATACATTCACCCGGTCAAGGGAACTGTAGAGAAAAGATTACCAATAATGAAAAGAAGTCTCCACAACCCACACAAGAGTATCAATGAGATGGAGATTCAGGTTTAATATCTTCCAGAATTCTAACCTCCAGGTGGCCTAAGCTCTAAAAGAGAAAAGACCTTAAAGTTTACACCATCACAATGTTCTATATTCTAATTATTAACTGAGACAGTGTTTTGTGACCCATAAAGCCATCACCATCACAGTGCTTGCCTAAACTTGTCTTGGAGCAAGGGAATTACTAACCCAAATAACTTAAAAACAAACTTGCTTCAGAATTGCATCACATGAGTCATAATTGATTCACTTTATAGTTAAACAAATTGGAGAAAACATTGATGAAGGTCTTGGTCAGTCTTATCAGGCAACAGAAAGAAATAAAAGGCGTCCAAATTGGAAAAGAGAACATCAAATTGTCCCTCTTTGCAGATGATATAATCTTATATTTAGAAAAACCTAAAGACTCCACCAAAAAAAATTAGATTTAATAAACAAATTCAATAAAATTGCAGGATAAAAAAATCAACATACAAAAATCAGTACCAATTCAATACACCAATAATGAAATGGCTGATAAAGAAAGCAATCCCATTTACTATGGTTACAAAACAATAAAATACCTAGGAATAAATTTAACCAAGGAGGTGAAAGACCTCTGGAAAACTACAAAACACTGATGAAAGAGATAGAAGACATAAACAAATGGAAAAACATAACATGCTCATGAACCAAAAAACTAATATTGTTAAAATGACAGTACTACCCAAAGCAATCTACAAATTCAGTGCAATCGCTATCAAAATATCAACATCATTTTTAACAGAATTAGAGAAAAAGTCCTAAAATTTGTATGGAATCAAAAAAAAAAGAAAAAATAAATAAAGAATCCAAACAGCCAAAGCAATCCTGAGCTGGAGCTATTCAAAGCTGAAGGCATCACACTACCTGACTTCAAAATATAGTACAAGGTTATAGTAACCAAAACTGCATGGAATTGGTATAAAAACAGATACACTGTTTTTACAAACTTTCAGGAAATAAATCCATGTATTTACAGCCAACTGATTTTAAACAAGGGTGCTAAGAACATACACTGGGTAATGGAGAGCTTATTCAATAAATAGTGCTGGGAAAAGTAGATATCTATGTGCAAAAAATGAAACTAAACCCCTATCTCTCACAATCACAGAAATCAACTCAAAATGTATTAAAGACTTAAACATAAGACCTGAAAATACAAAATTAGAAGAAAACGTAAATACTACAGGAAAAAGATTTTATGACTAAGATCTCAAAAGCACAAGCAACAAAAACAAAAATAGATAAATTGGACTATTTTAAGTTAAAAAGCTTCTGGACAGCAAAGAAACAACCAATATAACGGAGAGACAATATAAAGTTAAATGGGAGAAAATATTTCTGAACTACTCATCTGACAAGAAACTGATATCCAGAATATACAAGGAAATCAAAAAACTCAACAGCAAAAAACCCAACAACAATAAACAATCTCATTAAAAAGTGAGCAAAGGACATGAATAGACATTTCTCAAAAGACATACAAATGGCCAATAGGTATATGAAAAAAATGCTCTATGAAAAAAATGCACAACATCACTAATCAGGGAAATGAAAATCAAAACTACAATGAGATATTATCTTACCCCAGTTGGCATGACTGCTATCAAAAAGACAAACAAAAAACAGATAATGGCAAGGATACAGAGAAAAGGGAACTCTTACACACTGTTGGTGGGAATGTAAATTATTACAGCCATTATGGAAAACAGTATGGAGATTTCTCAAAAACTAAAAATAGAACTAGCACAATGAGCACAAAGTAATTCTTTTCATTATAATGTTGATAAAGTTCATCATTAAACACAGAAAAGAACCTAGTTTGGTTTTTTGTTCTTGCGATAGTTTACTGAGAATGATGATTTCCAATTTCATCCATGTCCCTACAAAGGACATGAACTCATCATTTTTTATTTCTCACTCATAGGTGGGAATTGAACAATGAGAACACATGGACACAGGAAGGGGAACATCACACTCTGGGGACTGTTGTGGGGTTGGGGGAGGGGGGAGGGATAGCATTGGGAGATATACCTAATGCTAGATGACGAGTTAGTGGGTGCAGCGCACCAGCATGGCACATGTATACATATGTAACAAACCTGCACATTGTGCACATGTACCCTAAAAGTTAAAGTATAATAATAATAATAATAATCATAAAAGAACCTAGTTTATAGGGCATCTTTCAAGGTTGCCATTCTCATAGCAAAAAAAAAAAAAAAAAAGTATTAATGCTGAGAAATATGCCAAATGATGTAAAGGCAAACATGCTCAGGGAAAAAGCAGAATAAACATTTGGCAAAATTATTTAATAAATGGTATTTGTTCTTGTGGCATAATATGTAAGACATGCAATGTGAAAGAGACAACTATTTCTATGTCTGTGCAATAGCTTTACAAATTGATATATTTTTTGAATCTGGAATATAATCTGGAATATAAATGAAGCCTTGATGTATGTGAGAAAGGAGCCCTCAATCACTTTGTTTTCCTTTGTATTAAAAACTTATGCCCATGCCAAATGGAAGACTTAAAAAAATACTGAATTAATGCTATGGACTGAATAGTGTGCCCTAAAAATTCATACGTTGAAGCCCTAAGCCCAAGTGTGACTGTACATGGGGATAGGATCTTTTGGAGATAATGAAGGTTAAGTGAAATCGTAAGAGTAGGATCTTAATCCTTTCGGACTGTGCCATAACAAGAAGAGAAAGATCGCTCCTCTCTACCCCCAACCTCTGCCTCTCCATGTGAGGACACAATGAGAAGATAGCAGGCTGCAAGCCAGGAAGAGAGTCTTCATCAAAACACAATAATGTTACCACCCTGATTTCACACTGCCAGCCTCCAGAACTGTTAGAAAATTAATTTCTGTTACTTAAACCACCTAGTCCATGAGATTCTGTTATGGCAGCTCTAGCTGACTAAGATAATTACTATTAACTTTTAAGAGAGAGCTGGTCTAGGGAGTTTTGGTTATATGAACATGGATAGCAATGGTTTTATTGAGTGAATAAGAAAAGTAGCATCTGAAAGCCAGTCCACTAATAGTTTTAGCTACAGAAAATTATTAATAGTAAATAATATGCCTCCTGATTTTGAGTCAGTATTGAATAAAAACGTAAAACTTGTGACTTTAAAAATTACAGCTACAAAATATACATCCTTTTAAGATGATGTGCCAAGAAAGAGCAAGTAGACACAATCTGTATTTTCACGCTAAAAATCACTGACCAGTGATGACTTCCAATACTTCAAAACAATTCTTTTTAAGTTGAAAATATTTACAATAAATATCTTTATAAAGTATCGTATAGCTAATTCTATAATTTCAAGTGCATTTCCTCAATTACACTTTAACCAAATAGTCAATGTTTTCATTAGTACAAATACATCACTTTAGGATCAAATATCACCTAATTTTTTTAAAAAATGAGAAGAAAAACTGCAAACTTGGAGAAAATGTTTGTGAAAGACATATTTGATAAAGGCCATCATCTAAAATATACAAAGAAGTCTTAAGACTGAACAATAAGAAAATGAACAAACCAATTAAAAAATGGGCAAAAAACCCTAGATAGACAACTCACCAAAGAAGACATAAGGATGGTTTTAGGTCTTACGGTTAAGTCTTTAATCCATCTTGAGTTAATTTTTGTATAAGTTGTAAGGAAGGGGTCCAGTTTCAGTTTTCTGCATATGGCTAGCCAGTTTTCCCAGCACCATTTATTAAATAGGGAATCCTTTCCCCATTTCTTGTTTTTGTCAGATTTGTCAAAGAAGAGATGGTTGTAGATGTGTGACGTTATTTCTGAGGCCTCTGTTCTGTTCCATTGGTCTATATCTCTGTTTTGGTACCTGGACCGGGCTGTTTTGGTTACTGTAGGCTCGTAGGAAAGTTTGAAGCCAGGTAGCATGATGCCTCCAGCTTTGTTCTTTTCACTTAGGATTGTCTTGGGTATACAGGTTCTTTTTTGGTTCCATATGAAATTTAAAGTAGTTTTTTCTAATTCTCTGAAGAAAGTCAATGGTAGTTTGATGGGGATAGCATTGAATCCATAATTACTTTGGGCAGTATGGCCATTTTCATGATATTGATTCTTTCTGTCCATGAGCATGGAATGTTTTTCCATTTGTTTGTGTCCTCTTATTTCCTTGAGCAGTGGTTTGTAGTTCTCCTTGAAGAGGTCCTTTACATCCCTTGTAAGTTGTATTTCTAGGTATTTTATTCTCTTTGTAACAATTGTGAATGGGAGTTCACTCATGATTTGGCTCTCTGTCTATTATCAGCCTATAGGAATGCTTGTGATTTGTGCACATTGATTTTGTATCCTGAGAATTTGCTGAAGTTGCTTATCAGCTTAAGGAGATTTGGGGCTGAGATGATGGGGTTTTCTAAATATACAATCATGTCACCTGCAAACAAACAATTTGACTTCCCCTTTTCCTAATTGAACACCCTTTATTTCTTTCTCTTGCCTGACTGCCCTGGCCAGAACTTCCAATACTATGTTGAATAGGAGTGGTCTGAAGAAAACCTAGGCAATGCCATTCAGGACATAGGCATGAGCAAAGACTTCATGACTAAAACACCAAAAGCAATGTCAACAAAAGCTGAAATTGACAAATGGGATCTAATTAAACTGAAGAGCTTATGCACAGCAAAAGCAACTATCATTAGAGTGAACAGGCAACCTAAAGAATGGGAGAAAAATTTTGTAATCTATCCATCTGACAAAGGGCTAATATCTAGAATCTACAAAGAACCTAAACAAATTTACAAGAAAAAAAAACTATCAGAAAGTGGGCAAAGGGTATCAACAGACACTTCTCAAAAGAAGACATTTATGCGGCCAACAAATATATGAAAAAATGCTCATCATCACTGGTCATTAGAAAAATGCAAATTAAAATCACAGTGAGATACCATCTCACACCAGGTAGAATGGCGATCACTAAGAAGTCAGGAAAGAACAGATGCTGGCAAGGACGTGGAGAAATAGAAACACTTTTATACTGTTGGTGGGTGTGTAAATTAATTCAACCATTGTGGAAGACAGTGTGGCAATTCCTCAAGGATCTAGAACCAGAAATACCATTTGACCCAGTAATCCCATTACTGAGTATATAACCAAAGGATTACAAATAATTCTGCTATAAAGACACATGCACACATATGTTTATTGCCGCACTATTCACAACAGCAAAGACTTGGAACCAACCCAAATACCCATCAGTGATAGACTAGATAACGAAAATGTGACATATACACCATGGAATACTATGCAGCCATAAAAAAGGATGAGTTCATGTCCTTTGCAGGGACATGGATGAAGCTGGAAACCATCGTTCTCAGCAAACTAACACAGAAACAAAACCAAACACCACATGTTCTCACTCATAAGTGGGAATTGAACAATGAGAACACATGGACACGGACACAGGATTGGAACATCACACACCGGGGCCTGTCAGGGGCTGGGCCACTAGGGGAAGGATAGCATTAGGAGAAGTACCTAATGTAGATGATGGGTTGATGGGTGCAGCAAACCCCCATGGCAAGGTATACCTATATAACAAACCTGCACATTCTGCGCATGTATCCTAGAACTTAAAGTATAATTTTTAAAAAGATATACAGATGGCAAATAAGCATATAAAAAGATGCTCCCCATCATATGTCATCAGGGAAAAGCAAATTAAAATTTATTATCTTTATTATTTATGTATTGATTTGGTAAGATATTGCTTTAAAAAAAGCTATTAGACTATAAGTGCCCCCAATATTTATATATGTTGCCTCAATGTTCAAAGCTTATCTTTATTTTTAGCAAATTGATATGTGTCTTAACTTTAATTCTATGCTAATTAGAAAATCTAAGAAAATAACTAAAAGAAAGGACAATTTACCCAGTCCATCAGTGGTAGTCATGGCAGGAAATAGAATGCACAAATTAATTATTGCAAAGAGTTTAATGGAGAAAGTGTTCATAAACATGTGTTCAGGTTTATAGGAATCCATTAAAGGATCGTGAAATATCCTGAGACAAGTGACATCATTCGTTAATACTGCTAGGCCTGAGAAGCCCAGGAGAGCTGACAAGAACACAGCTAGCAAGATAACTAACTCTAGGAGCTGGACCTCTTAACAAGACTTGTTTGGTCTTTGGTAGAGGAACATAGCCTCTTCCAACCCCAGTACAAGCAAGAGAGGAGCAGAGCCAGGGAAATATACACGGAGGACCTCTTCTTTCTCCAGGATTATGATCTGCTCGTGACTGTTGATTTGCAGAACCCAACTAGAAGTCAAAGGGCAAGGGAGCCTTGGTGTAGTTGTGGTACATATAGGCTAAGTCTCTGAGGTATGGATCAAAGAGGTGAGGGGTGTGGTATGTGTAGACAAACATGTTGTTGGGGGCAGATACACACACACAGCTACTCTGATGAAAACTCTACAAAAGATCTGGAAGATAACTGAATTTAAAACATCAAGAAATTCATTAAGAAATTAAGGCTGGGCGCGGTGGCTCACACCTGTAATCCCAGCACTTTGGGAGGCCGAGGCGGGTGGATCATGAGGTCAGGAGATCAAGACCATCCTGACTAACACGGTGAAACCCTGTCTCTACTAACAAATATAAAAAATTAGCCAGGCATGGTGGCAGGCGCCTGTAGTCCCAGCTACTCAGGAGGCTGAGGCAGGAGAATGTTGGGAACCTAGGAGACGGAGCTTGCAGTGAGCCGAGATCGAGCCACTGCACTCCAGCCTGGGCCACAGAGCGAGACCCCATCTCAAAAAATAAATAAATAAATAAATAAAAACCTGAGGTTCCCATTATTAGATGAATTGTTCAAGGTTACACAAAAATTGACCTCTAAATACATTTAACTATTTGTCTAGCATAATTCTCAGCATTTGTTGACATCTCAAAGAGATAGAAAAATTAGGAGGAATCATGGTCTATTTAAAAATTTTGTAAGCCAGAGGGGTATACGAAAGTCAAAGCAGGAGATCTAGGGCCTTATTTTTACTAGAGAATATGAGAGAGAGAGAAAATAAGAGAGAGAGAATAAGAGAGAGACAATAAGAGAGAGACAAGAAGAGAGAGAGAATAAGAGAGAGAGAGATAATAGAGAGAAAGAGAGAGAGAATAAGAGAGAGAGAGAGAGAGAATAAGAATGGATATGAATATATAGGGAGTTTAGCTTTTGTCAAAATGATGCATTAACTTTGGAGAACATGCTGCACAGTAGTAACCATTACTCATTTTGAGCATTTTGCTCCAAAGTCAGAACATGTGTGAATTTAGATTTTCTTGAAGCTCACATGAAAACTTCAGTTTGGGAGGCGCGATGGCGTGGACAGCTCTGGCTGGTTCACTTTATGCTGACTCTCAGATAAAATAGAATCTTGATTTTGGTAGCCAGAGGTTTTACTCTTTTGACCCAAGGCTCTATCCATCCACGCATCCACCCACCCACTCACCCTTTCACCAAGGGTGGTAATAGGAGCTCAATATTCACTTTTAAAACAAATTTCTCATTTTTCTGTGCCTGTAAACAAAAGGCATATATAATGAAAGTCACTATGATTCTTGCCCATTCAGTATGATATTGGCTGTGGGTTTGTCATAGATAGCTCTTATTATTTTGAGAAACATCCCATCAATACCTAATTTACTGAGAGTTCTTAGCATGAAGGGTTGCTGAATTTTGTCAAAGGCCTTTCTGCATCTATTGAGATAATCATGTGGTTTTTGTCTTTGGTTCTGTTTATATGCTGGATTACATTTATTGATTTGCATATATTGAACCAGCCTTGCATCCCAGGGATGAAGCCCACTTGATCATGGTGGATAAGCTTTTTGATGTGCTGCTGGATTTGGTTTGCCAGTATTTTAATGAGGATTTTTGCATCAATGTTCATCAAGGATATTGGTCTAAAATTCTCTTTTTTGGTTGTGTCTCTACCCAGCTTTGGTATCAGAATGATGCTGGCCTTATAAAATGAGTTAGGGAGGATTCCCTCTTTTTCTATTGATTGGAATAGTTTCAGAAGGAATGGTACCATTTCCTCCTTGTACCTCTTGTAGAATTCGGCTGTGAATCCATCTGGTCCTGGACTCTTTTTGGTTGGTAAGCTATTGATTATTGCCACAACTTCAGAACCTGTTATTGGTCTATTCAGAGATTCAACTTCTTCCTGGTTTAATCTTGGGAGGGTGTATGTGTCGAGGAATTTATCCATTTCTTCTAGATTTTCTATTTTATTTGCGTAGGGGTGTTTGTAGTATTCTCTGACGGTAGTTTGTATTTCTGTGGAATCGGTGGTGATATCCCCTTTATCATTTTTTATTGCGTCTATTTGATTCTTCTCTGTTTTCTTATTAGTCTTGCTAGCGGTCTATCAATTTTGTCGATCCTTTCAAAAAACCAGCTCCTGGATTCATTAATTTTTTGAAGGGTTTTTTGTGTCTCTATTTCCTTCAGTTCTGCTCTGATTTTAGTTATTTCTTGCCTTCTGCTAGCTTTTGAATGTGTTTGCTCTTGCTTTTCTAGTTCTTTTAATTGTGATGTTAGGGTGTCAATTTTGGATCTTTCCTGCTTTCTCTTGTGGGCATTTAGTGCTATAAATTTCCCTCTACACACTGCTTTGAATGCGTCCCAGAGATTCTGGTATGTTGTGTCTTTGTTCTCGTTGCTTTCAAAGAACATCTTTATTTCTGCCTTCATTTCGTTATGTACCCAGTAGTCATTCAGGAGCAGGTTGTTCAGTTTCCATGTAGTTGAGCGGTTTTGAGTGAGTTTCTTAATCCTGAGTTGTAGTATGATTGCACGGTGGTCTGAGAGACAGTTTGTTATAATTTCTGATCTTTTACATTTGCTGAAGAGAGCTTTACTTCCAACTATGTAGTCAATTTTGGAATAGGTGTGGTGTGGTGCTGAAAAAAATATATATTCTGTTGATTTGGGGTGGAGAGTTCTGTAGATGTCTATTAGGTCCGCTGAGTGCAGGGCTGAGTGTTTATTGTGGCACTATTCATAATAGCAAAGACTTGGAACCAACCCAGATGTCCAACAATGATAGACTGGATTAAGAAAATGTGGCACATATACACCATGGAATACTATGCAGCCATAAAAAATGATGAGTTCATGTCCTTTGTGGGACATGGATTAAATTGGAAATCATCATTCTCAGTAAATTATCGCAAGAACAAAAAACCAAACACGGCATATTCTCACTCATAGATGGGAATTGAACAATGAGAACACATGGACACAGGAAGGGGAACATCACACTCTGGGGACTGTTGTGGGGTGGGGGGAGGGGGGAGGGATAGCTTTAGGAGATATACCTAATGCTAAATAATGAGTTAATGGGTGCAGCACACCAGCATGGCACATGTATACATATGTAACTAACCTGCACATTGTGTACATGTACCCTAAAACTTTAAGTATAATAATAATGAAATTTAAAAAAGAAAGTCACTATGATTCTTTTAAATTGTGTTTATTATTGCTTTCTAAAGAATGGCAGTATCAATAAGAAGTACATTATGTAAAAGTGACTGGAAAATTAAAGTGGAAACTGATAGAACACTACCAGGCAGGCTCCATGGTTGGGTTGACATTTCACTCTCATTTTTACAAACTCCTAAAGAAGATTAAAATAAGTTTCTGAAATATAGTCTGGTTAAGCAACATTTTTGTGTCATTGTAATGATTAAAATTAGTGTAGAGTCCATTGCAGTGTCAATGAAGTATTGTTAAGGAAAGGGACTAATAATGCCGACTGGTGGCCTGGCACTGAGAAATTGAACAGAAAGCAATGCAGAACTAAACAGAAGTTCCAGGAATGTAAATTTGGCTTACCCTTCCGATAAGCCAACTTCTTAGCCTGGAACATGGCTTCTTATGGCAAAACATCCATTCTTAATATAAGACAACGATGTTTGAATAAAATAAATTTTTATGGATTAGCTGTCATTTAAGTGGTTGTTTATAATTTAATTCTGTCTTTCTATGAAAAACATTTTTTCCTTTCTGCCAAAACTAAAACCATTACTTCAACCCTAAACACATAAATTTTGTTTTTTAAATGTCACTACAAACAATGTCACAGTAACCTTATGAGTCCAAGCTGAATCAAAATTATTTTTAAAAAAATTTAAATAGAACAATTATTACATTGCTTCTTACATTTCCAATTTAAGGTAACAATATATAGTCATCCAGATAGAACTCATTATGACTCAATGGATCTACCTATGACACTTCTTTCTAAATGTACTGTGCATATTGAGTACTATGACAGAGCAGGAAGTTGCTCAATAAAAAATAGTTTTTGAATTGAACATTCTATATGTAGAGTTTACTTTCATAGCTCTAATCTTAACCTTAACAATAGAATAATAATTCTAGAGTTAACCGTTAAATAGATCTTAAAGGTGTAAAAGACCCACTAACTTTATGCCATAAATTATGAGGTACAGACTTCTTTAACTATATACTTGTTACTGTTCTAATAAAATCCACTTCAGAGATAGAGAAAATTCCTAGAACAGCATCTTTCTTTGCTGCTGTGTTCATTTTATTCATTGCAATAAAAGAAATCTCATTTTGAAAGGCTTTGAATAGAAACCTCATATAAACTCTTCTCTATTCCATTATGTTCTCTACCTCTTACTCTAAGAAATATTTATTTTGGCAGGCAACTCTAGTCATGCAGATAGGTTAAGTGGTAGGATATTGACCATGGCTTATTGGAAAAGTGACCATGGCTTATTGGCAACAAATCCCTTTCAAAAACATCTTCCCTTCCTATAAAACATACCACTGATAATTTCACTAATATTGTACTGTATTCCTGGCCATTTTAGAATCAGAATCAGAAAATAATTTCTGAAGAAAAAATGTAATTAACTCAATTTCCTTATTCAACAAATAGGGAAATTAAGTGTCAGAGATATTCAATTATTTGGCTAAAGTCAACAAACCACACAAATAATAGATATAGGACTATGGGCTGTCTTCTGATTCCCCATCAGTATATTTTTGCTTCATTAAGCTTTCTTTAGCATAAGTCACCAAAAAATGCTTAGCTTGAGTTAGTGATTTTAGCTTCCTCTTTCAGTTTCTTGTCTACCTAATCCAAAGCATATACCCTGGTACAACAGGATGTATTAATAATTTGCGCATACTTTGCCTTGGCTTATAATGAAAAAACTATGGCAAACACTATCATCCATACATTTTTGATCCATAAGCTGGAGCTGCCCTGAATGACCTTTAGGCTGAGATGAGCGTCATTGTTACCTCAGCAAAAGTCAGGGACAAATTTCATGTAATCTTTCTAAGGGAATAATATTCCCTGTAGGTAAGCTTCCTGCAGAACACATGTCTGAGGATTTAGTCTTCTACCAGGTGTTTTCCATAAGCACTGGGATGTTCCTGATAACAACCCCAAGGTGGAAATCATGGGGTTTTCATGAGACAGGACTTGTTTACACACACATACACACACACACACACACACACACACACACAGTACAATTCCAGAGGACACATGCGGAACTGCTGGAAACAGAATTGTTAGAGATCCCTTCATGAGACACATCGCAGTGGTTGCCATACCTCACACATACACACACAATGTGGTCTCCCACTGGACCTCCCAGTTTAGTCCCAATAATTCAAGTTAAGTTCAGCCCCTATCAAAGGGACTGCCTCAAGGCAGTCAGTTTCAAGTAGCCCTGCTTGCTGATGCCAATTCATCTGTTCCACAAGGTGTAGACATCGGGAAATGTCCTTCGAGGAAAGAGCAGGAGCTGGGGCCATCCCCTGGTCGCTCACTGTAAAAGACTTCAGGAAAGGGATGGTTTGTTTGAATTCAAGGTGCTTGCAGCAGCTTGGAAAGTAGCGTGGGATAAATGGCCCACAAAAGCAACCTAAAGAGCTGTACAGGTGGTTTCCTCCTGGGAGGAAGGCTCCAGGAGCCATTTCTGAAAGACAAGTATCATTAAATCCCCTGCCTCTACTGCCCGAGGAGCCTAATGTGTTTCCTCCTCAGGTGCCCTGGATTTTGCTATTCTTTGTTACAAAGTCTTCAGGTCCAATTTCATTAACTATAACTACATTTTTTCTGTCATTCCCTACTGAACTTTTCATTCAAAAAGTCGATGCAAAAGAAAAAACAAAAGGAGTTTCACAGAAACTTTTTCATGCAATCTAAACATATTTAAGTCCAAATCTCCAAAGCCCCCTTTACAGCCAGGTCAATGTGGGGTTACCTTTAGGAGAAAGACAGTCACATCGTTCTGCCAAGGGGAATGCTCTGAGGGAAATCCTGAAATTTACAGTGTTTCTAATTAATCTAAACCATTCTTCATCCTTTTTGTTCAAATCATAACCTAATTTTAAAAAAAGCCTAGTGAGATCAGCCTTATTATATGCCATTGCTTTTTATAATTTATCTCTAATCTTGTAAACAATACTGCACTATTACACCAGCTGTATAATGATGAAATTGAAGTTCAGGAAGGTTTAGCGACTTTTCCAACGATGTATAGGTAGCAGGTGGTCCCAGTATGAACTTAGTTTTGATTGTACCCAAATGTGGTGTACATTACACTTCAAAAATCTTTAAGCTGCTCCATAGAGTGGTTTTAGGTGCAGAAGAAAAGAGTGTGTGAAGTAGAGGCTGATTACAAAAAGGTGAAAAGAGCACGTTCTAAACTTTCCACCCCGTTTGAACTAGATCACCTCCTCCTTGATGATAGATAGATAATAGATAGGTAGATAGATGGATTCTGAAGAACATTTTGTTTGAATAGATGTTTAAGAACTAGAAAGATTAAGTAAGCTAAGTAACTGCAAGGTAACTAAGTAGACTTTTAAGAACTTTTTGTTATGGTAGATTTTTTAAAGAAAAAAAAATAAACCACTAAGCTTCACCATGCTGTATCTGCTTAAAAACAAAAAGGTGAAGATGCTCCCATGTCAAACTTCATGTACCTAAATAGGCCAAAACATCCACACACTATATATTTGAAATTTTCATTAGTGTTCCTAAAGATTGGTTAGAAGACAGAATTTTGAAGAAAGAATCTTCTATAAGTATGTGTATGGACCATTTAACCCAAAGTCTCTTTATGTATCAGTTTAGGAATTTCTCGAGAAAAGCAGCATTTATATTTACTGCAGTTATGGTTACATATCTATAGAGGTAACATGTGGAACAATAAAAATCCAGTATTGCCATATGTATTGACCACCTCCTTCAGGATAAGCCCTTTATTAGGCCTTGTAATAGATACCAAAAAAAATAAATAGAAGTCATTGTAGTATGACTACATCTGGCTCTATTAAAACATGGGTTAAGTCGATTTGCAACCTATGATAAGAGACCTACTTCATAAACATATAAACTCAGGTTTGAGGGCCATAGTAGTAAGAAGTAATGATGGTATAGGTAGTCACATTAGTAGTATTAGCAATTACTGTAACAGTCAACATTGTCAAGGGTTTAACCTGTGTTAAGCTATGTAATAAAAAGTTTTTATGCATAAAGCTGACTCATTTAATTTCTACTTTAATTCTCAATTCTCAACTTCAGTTTTAGAAATACAGTCTTACATATAAAGAAACTAAAACTGAAAAGGTTAAACAGATTGCTAGTAAGTTAAGCAACAGCTTCTCACTAACAGACAAGCATTCAGGTGCAGACCTCTCTGACTCTAGAGTCTGTGCACTTACACTACAGTTGCTCAGAGAAGACATCTGAGAAAGCCTATTAGGAAGAGACAGAATAAGATATCTAGGATAAGGTGAGTCCTTCCTCAAGTCAGAAAGAACTACAGAAAGAAATTTGTTTAAAACAGGCCCAAGGGATTCATTTTGGACCTCTACTTCTGTCCAAAAGATTGAGTAAAAGGAACTGGATTTATCTTTCTGCTTAACACAGCCGAAAAAAATGAATATATGAAATAGGCACTGGACACCTAGACAATTAATGACCATGATTCTTGAGAGGTGGAAACAAATCAGGTGAGTTTATGATTGCCGCAGCTTACTGCCATGAAAGACAGAACACAGGGTGGGGAGCCCAGGTAGATGCCAACATAGCCAAGACCATGGAGAAGAAAAAAAGCCACACTCAAAAATTCATAATAAAGTTCAAGGGCCTATAAGCAACAAAGCAATGTTGAAAAGGAACAAACATGAAAGACTAACCCTACAGGATTGCAACACTTAAAGTTATAGTAATCCAGACAGTGTGGCACTGGTATATAGGTAGACACATATACCAATGGAACAGAATAGAGATTTCACAAACAACCCAACACATATAAATGACTGATTCTTAACAAAGCTTACATGCAATCAACTGAAGAAAGGGTAGTTTAAGGAAATAATGCTTGGACAATATTCATATGTAGAAAAATATTCTTTAATACATACTTCATATTAAAAATAAACTAAAAATGAATTATGTAATTAAATGTAAAACCCAAAATAAACTGCTCAAGGAAAACATGAGAAAATATTTATTAACTTGCATTAGGGAAATATTTCTTAAATATGATGTATAAAACACAAGCCCTAAAAGAAAAAGTGAACAAATTGACTTTATCAAAATTAAAAGCTTCTACTTTTTTTTTTTGGCTAGTCAAGTGACGCAGTGGAGGTGGAGAAGGAACAAAGAAATCTGTAACTGGTAGTTATCAATTAGTTCTAAACACCACTGCATTCAGACGATCAAAAGTTTCTACTTTTTAAAGACACTTATAGGAGAAAATATTTCAAAGCATATATCTGATAAACAATTGTATCCAGAATATACAAATAACTCATACTCAATAATAAACAGAATAGGAAATATGAAAATATTTGAAAAGACACAAAGAATAGTGAATGGTACATAAACACATAAAATGATGCTCAACATATTTACTTATTAGATAAATGCATATTAAAACCATAATTGTATACCAATATATGCTTTTAGGATGGCTAAAAGGTAAAAGGCTCTCTATACCAAGTAGTGGTAAGAATGTGAAGGAAGCAAAATTTCCATGCACTGCTAGTTTCAATGTAAAATAGTACAAAAACTTTGGAAAACCATTACTTAAAATGTTAAAGAAAAATTTCTGAAATGATAAATATACACTGACCATATAATCCAGGCATTCTACTCCTAGATATTTACCTCCTCTCCTCCCAAAATTAGAATGTATATCCACACAGACTTGCACACAGATGTTTACAGCAGCTTTATTAAAATGTCCAAAAGTCAAAATGTCCCTCCAGAAGTGAATATATAAACAATCGTGGTACATTGATACAATGCATCAGTACTAAATAATACAAAGTAATGAACTATTGGCACACAACAAATTGGATGAATCTCAAAATAATTTCACTGAGTTAAAGAAGCCAAACAGAAAGGAGGACATACTGTATGATTCCATTTATATAAAATTCGAGAAAATGCAAACCGATCCACAGTGACAGAAAGCAGAATAACGGTATTCTGGAGATGGTAGGGTGAGAATGGGAGAAGGGATTAAAAAGCGGGCACCAGGAAACATTTGGAAGGAGATGGATATATTTGTCATCGCAATTGTGGCGATAATTTAATGGGTTATATGACATGTCGAAACTTATCAAATTGTACACTTAATATATGTGAAGCTTATTATGTATCAGTTAAATCCCATAAAACTATTTTTTAAAAAATAAGAGACATTAACCTCAAATATGTCCTGGTGAAATCAATTTAAACTGCAATTTGACCATGAATAACAGAAAAGGCTCAGTAGCTATTTTGTAATTGCTATTTCAATGTAGTTTCACTGATTTTCATATTTTGATTTTTGAAAATGTCTCCATTAGACTCCTTTCTTTCTGTAAACAACTTTTTTGAAATAACTTCTCTTGTTTATATCTAAAAAGGTCAAGTTAAATTGAATGGAAATCAAAATTTTCCATATCTATCTTCAAACTTGGAATTGACCAGGTTATAATTGATCCCGGACACTCTGTCACAAAGAAATCACTTACATCATCTTCTGAAGCCCACCAAGATGCAAATTAACCAGCTATTCCCAAGAGAGCTGATTACACTGGCTTGTCAACTTCAAACAATTAACAAGTTCTTGGGCTGACCCCTCTTAGACACCTAGAATCTAAGAAAATAAATATAAAATTACAAAAGGATTTTAAATGTGTCATATCTTAGCATCAATTAAGGAAAATGCCAGCATATTTAATGCTGGACCTTTTGAAAGGTATTGAATAGATTTAGTATCAAAATAAATTATTAATTTTGGAATAAAGAAATTCATGGCTATAATACCATTGAGAATTATACTGTGCTGTTTCCATGCTGATCTTGTGTTTCCTGCCCTATTCCTCCATCTGATCCTTTTTACACTATTCTATACAATTCTGTCTACTATGCAATTATCTGCTGTGATCACAATCACAGTACAAAACGATGTGAACTCCACTTATCCTGTGAGGCACAGAGGATCACACCCTGCTAAAGAAGAAACTTTGGAAAAGATAGGCCACATTGTTAAATAAAGGACATAGAAAAGGAGGACCTTGGTAATTTTGCAAATATTGAGATAAAATGTAATATTTATGATGCTATATAAAGCATTAATATTTGCAAGCTAATAGGAGACACATATAATACTCTGCTCATGCAATACTTGGCATATATTGCCTTTTGATTTGCTAGATAAATTCCTTTGCCTATATAAAAAGCAGATTGATAGAAAAATCAATGCTTACAATTCAGAATATTTGTCCATAGGATTTTTATCTTATAGTTCATCTAATATTATAACTCACTGTTTGTTCTGTGCATGGAGACTTGGTACATGTTGTGTGTCCTTCAACAGTCACACCAGTTTCTTACTGTTTTGAAAGATATCTCAACAATTTGAGGTGCATGTCCTTCAGGGTGAATCCACTACATTGCCTAAAATTTAAGTCAGACCATTTGAAACATACCATCTACATATAATGAACAAAAATCTATTTTCAAGTATTTTAGCAGAAAAACAATAAGACAAAACATTATTTGTAAACATATTAGGCTAATATCAAAATCTAAGGAGAATAAGAATAATGTGCCAACTGGTCTACCTCCTGCAACATTATGGTGAGTAGGGAAGAAGAATAAAGCACCTTATAAACATAATAGACATCCCAGGAGATCCTAAGGTTATGGTTAGGTATCCTATAAAGGAGAGCATTCCTAGAGGAAAATAAAGAAAAAAAAGAGGATTCCAAGCTGCAACCTGTGATCTACTTCCTGACTGAGCTTGCCTTACTCAGTTAGTCTAAGTATGTAGAAGAGATTCAGTAGCTGTTTGTAGTCATTTGCTAGGGCTGCCTTAAGAAAATTCTACAGACTCAGTGGCTTAAACAAAAGATTTATTTTTTCACTGTTCTGGAGAGTAGGAATCTGAGACCAAGATGTCAACTGGGTTGATTTCTTCAAAGGCCTTACCCCTCAACTTGTGGGTAACCTTTCATCTGTGTGTTCATATGATCTTCTGTGGGTCTGTTTAATCTCCTTTTTTAATATTTTTTGAGACAGTGTCTTACTCACCCAGGCTGGAGTGCAGGAGTGCAGTGGCATGGCCACAGCTCACTGCAGTCTTGACCACCTGAGCTCAAGTGATCCTCCCACCTCAGGCTCCCTAGTAGCTACAATTACAGGCATACGCCACAATGCACAGCTAATTTTCTGTGTGTGTGTGTGTGTATGTGTATTTTTTGTAGAGACAGGATTTCACCATGTTGCCCAGGCTGGTCTCAAACTTCTGAACTTAAGCGATCCACCTTCCTCAGCCTTCTAAAGTGCTCAGAATACAGGCGTGAGCCAGCACAGCCAACCTCCTTTTAAGGACAACAGTCACATTGGATCACAGTGCACCCTAATTTTACCTTAATTATCTCTTTAAAGGCCCCATTTCCAAATACAGTCACATTCTTAGTGCTGAGAGTTAGGGCTTCAACATATGAATTTGAGGGATAATATGGTTTGGCTGTTTCCCCACCCAAATCTCATCTTGAATTGTAGTTCCATAAGAGGCTTGTTCCCCACCTTTCACTCTGCACTTCTCCTTCCTGCCATCATGTGAAGAAGGACGTATTTGTTTCCCCTTCCACCATGACTGTAAGTTTCCTGAGGTCTCCATAGCACTGCAGAACTGTGAGTCAATTAAACTTCTTTCCTTTATAAGTTACCCAATCTCAGGCAGTCCTTTATAGCAGCATAAGAATGGACTAAGGGGAGACACTATTCGGCCCACAACATCATTCAATGTGATACCCCATCCTGATATCACACAGATGCCATTCTATCACACACACACACACACACACATGCACATACACACACACACACGAGTCTTTTAGGCTATTCAGTTATGTTTCACTCCAAGTTTTATAAATAGTACACATAGTATATACTACTATTAACAAGTAGTACATAGTAAATATTGAATGAAGAACTCAACAAATTTGGTGAATGATTTTCTTTCGGTAAGTATTTAATATTTTTGTTAATGTTTGTGAATTTCTCCCTCATTGGATTGTTAACAAACTTGGAGAATTTGTGAAGTTATAGAGAAAGCAAGATGAAACAGAGAATAATTATTATAATCATCATTATCTCAGCCATATTGAATTTACCCTAAAAACTAAATTAATTATATTAAATATATAAGCCAAAACAAAACTGTTAATCTCCCCTTTCTCCAAAATTTGGCCTTACTTCTATCTTCCCCTTAGAAAACAGATCCACCGCTTTTATTAAACCAAAAACCTGAGTTGTCCATGAATCCTTTCATTCACAAAACACCCACATTCATTTTATTAGCAAGTTTCACCAGCTCCACTTCCAAAATGTATCCCAAATCAATTCACTTTACCTTCACTTTACTCTTATTTCTACCACTCTTGTCCAGGCCACCATCTTTTATAACATGGACTACTCAATAGCTCTCCCCACCTCTAAATGCCTTATTCACTCAGGAGCCAAGGTAATCTGGCTAAATATTAATCAGATAACATAACTCTCCTATTTAAAGCTTCCTAGTGTCTTAGAATTAAATCCATACACACTTAAAAAGAATATCATGACCTGGCCTCTGCCTACCTTGTAGGACTTCCCCTTCCACCGTATGCTCCAATCATATTGTTCTTTCTGTTACCTACTATGTAGGGTTTGCCTTAGAGTCTTAGTTTCTAACAGATAGAACAGGTCTACTAACTGTTCTCTGATAAGAAACTTCTTCTATTTAATCTGGGTATAGCTGAAATGTCACCTCTTCCAAGAAGTCTTTTTCTTATTCTAGTCTCAAGTGGCCTCCAAATCACTCTCTATTACCCTATTTTAATTTTCTGTATAGTGCTTATAGTTGTCTAATATTTTTCTTTTTTTATTTTTTCTCTGTATGCATTACGTGAGAATTTTGACCTTGACTATCTTGATTGATGCTTTAACCCCAGAACATAAAACAATGCATGATAGAGTGGTACTCAATAAATATTTATAAAATAAATGAGTTACCAGATGGTAACTCAGATGTCATTCTTTAGAATGACAACATGGGATTCTTGACCTTACAAGATGGTCATCAAAATTCACCCTATAACTTTGTTTCTATAGCTGCTCTTAAGATTCCTGAGATCACTAAAAGAAATAAACAGGACCAATTGCACATATCTTTATTTCTTTTTACTCTTCAGTCAATGCTTTGCAACAAAGACAATGACTATGATATCTGACCCTCAGGAGCTCTGATGAGAATCTACTCTTGTCTAATTCACTAACCTAGTCACAAATGACTTTTGGCAGCACAGGCAAGAGCTCTAAAAGAAAGCAAAAATCCAGAAATTATTCCTAGCACATTTTGAATATTTATGAACTGTTACTCATGGAAGTAACTATTAGTAGCTCAACGCCATGAAAAAGAATTTTCTATACAAAAACACAGGTAACAATCACAATTCCAAAGTGGCATAAAATGCTTTTGCTATCCTGACTTCTTACAACCATATCTACTAGAAGTTTTTGACTAGACTATAATATTATATTAGTAAGTTTGAATTAGTGAGAGAGAAAAACTCATTGCCTTCTAATTCTATCAAATTCTGCACAGTTGCCTAGATTTACTCCTTTAGAGAATTGTAAGGAATCAACAGATTTTTTTTTAACTTTCCCTGGGGATAAAGTATGACAAACTTCATCAATCTAAGAGAAAATAGTCACGATACCCTCTCCAGTAATCACCAACTTCTTCTTGGGGTATGGCAGAACATAAGAAGCACTTTGAGAAGCAGGGAAATATTAACTTTTAATGTATTTGGGCAACAAGATTTAAAGTCATCTGAATTAGCAGGATATATTGTTCGAGGAACAGCTGGTGGCTTTTAATTAGTGCTTAGTTTAGAAGTACAAAGTTGAATGTGCCTTAGTTTTGTTGGTCTTTTTCCAACTGATAAATCATTTCCTGTCTCCAGTGAATTGGTTTAGCTTTGTCTTACTATAGGTATAATTGTGCGTTTTACTCCCAACTGAGCCATGAATCAATAAAAGTTTATAAAAATCTTTGTTTTTAGGCTTAAAATATGATCTTAAAGACTACACTGTAGACCACTCAGCTTTTATTCACTATCCCGCTGACATTTTTAGTAATGAATCCTCAACCATTTTTGGCTTTCCCTTTCTATTCCTTAGTCACAGTCCATGTCTCCCTTAAAGTGTTATTTCTTTTTCTAATTCCCCATTCCTCTCACCCACTGTCACAGTCACAGATCTTTTTCCAGAAAACGTATGAGCTGAGAAACATTCTGTATTTATCACACAGATGCCAAAAGAATAGATAACCCTTGATAAGAAAACACATTAAAGTGTCATGTTCTAGGAAGTTCTTGGATTATAAATCTTAATATATATGTAAGAAAAATAATTTGCCATTAATTATAGTTATTCATTAAAGCTTTCTTAGTCAAACAAGCATCATTAAATTTATAAATGATACTGAGTTAGTTTGGTCAGTTATCCAGTTAGAAATTTGCTCCCCAAAGATGGCTCTTCAGGTTGCAAATACTAATTGGCTTTCAGTGGGTAACAGTGAGTATGCTTAGTTACACATTTAAGGAAAGAAGCCAGGCAGCTGGACTCCCCACTACTTAACAATGGTATTGTGTCTAATCCAAAAGTACTACTTGACAGGAAAATCCTTATTGTCACGATTGCTCATGGTTGATGGTGTTTTTCTAACAAAGTTAGCTATTCACCTGAGGGCATCTTATTTCACACAATGAGCAATGACTCACAGGAACTGGGAAGAAAAAGAAAACTGACGAATTTCCTGAATACCTCTGCTACTGCTATATAATTAGCATTTGGCTATATGTATTATTTTATTTTTAGATGACGTTTTAGGGAACACTATTAAATCATAACTGGTAGCCAAAAGGACGTGGCCCGTAATCATGCTAAGAATAGAAGAGAAGTGTAATGCAAATTCAAAGAGTTGAATAATGTGATTTGAAACCTGGCCCTGACATGTATTAATATTTCATTTTGAAAACTGCATAATCTGAGTTTTAATTTCCTGATTAGTAGATAGTAAGTACGCTTACTTTACTGAGTTCTTAAAATGATAAATGAAATAATAAATAAGGAATATATGGCACTTTGCAGAGTTTGTTTTACATTATATAAATAAGAATTTTCTATCATTATCATGAATATTGACTAACTTGACTAAAGTTCACCAAGCCATTTCATCCTATGAGAAAGGAAACAGACATAGAGGATTAAATAATTTGTCCAGATTACAACTAGCTAGTAACAGCCAAAACTAAAACCCACGTTTCTAAATTTCAGAGCTGTATTCTTTCCATAGCTATGACTCCTTCCTCTGACGTTTCTGACATTGCTCCATGGATTTAATCAGACAATTTAAATATAGAGTTAGAATTGTCAATTAACTCACTGACAACCTCATGTAGCTGGTGAAGTGGGGGGTCATTCTGAAGAAGAAAATGTTTATGTATTGAAATAAGGAGACATGGATAATCTGTTTTGATGATTGGAAGAACAGACTTGTTCCAGAAAATCAAGATGCTTTTAAATCAAGATGTTTTTACTGGATCCTATTCTTTTTTTGTTGTTGCCGTTTGTAAGGGAGGGTCAGGAAATCAGAAATGGTTGCTGTTGGCAACTATGAGGATTGGGTGTGTAGCTGCTACTGACATTATAGGAAACAGAATAAGGAGTTTTGTTAGGAAGAATAAATCCAGCTAGCTAGCACTGTAGCTAGCAATAATTATGTACATGTAGTGATAGTACACACATAACTGAAATGGATGTTTAATGATGTGCTAGCAAGTCAACTAAACCTTTTAATGGATTTTGTTGTGGGTGAGTTGATATAAATGGGGAAATCTTGAAGTAAAAGAAAGTAGAAGCAGCTGATAGAAAGGGATATTATTTTCCTGTAGAAGGACATCTTTTTAGTCTTTTTCTCTTACCTTCTCTCCCCGCTCCCCACCGCCCACACACACATAAAAAAGTATTTCTAAAGGAAAGAAATAATATTTAGATTAGTATAAAATAGCCCAAATATCACAGGTGAAGAGGAAAAATAACTAAGTAAATGACACAGAAAGTAACCATCAGAAAGCCATCGCAAGCAGCACAAAGAAAAACAATGAGTTTAGTTGCACAGAAAGAAAGAAATCCGAGTAGAGAGAAAGAAAGCAAGCCAAAGAGGCACGATAATATAGTGAAGAATAGAAAGTAAGGACACCGGAGGAAAAACAACAGGTGACAATTAATGCTAGAGAGAGGAGACTAAGTTGAAAGCAGCAGAACACCCAGATGGAAGCCAATCCGTGAGCTGATTTTAGAGCATCTTTCTCCTTTGGTCACAGTAACTCTCCTCCTTTATGCACCTTCTCTGCAAATACCTGAAATACAAGGTAGCTATGACCTGCCAGGTCCTCTTGTTAACAGGTTATCAAAATAGATATCTCATTTATGAGATAAGCAGATTTCATATAGGTGCTGAAGTTCCTAATATCATCAAAATCCCATTATTTTTGGACATAGTTAAAAAACAGAGAGGAAGCCCACCTGTTTCTGTAACGGTCAGTGAAGCTATTCAGATCACTCATGCCACGTCACAGAAATATATAGCTAGACAAACATTTTTAATTAAAAATAATTTTAAATCTTTCATAAAAGCATTATGGAAAGGCAGTGAGGAAGAGCCAAGCCAAAAGTGAAGAGAAAACAAGGATCCAGACTGAGAGGAAAACATTGAAGCCACTTTTGCCCTGAGAGCATTTGCTGATAACATAAAATTGGACTCCTAGTTTTCTCCATTTTGTGAGGTGAGAGCAACGTAACTTAGAATTCAGAACCAGCATAAGATATATTTTAGCAGATTTAGATTTGAGCATCTCTATTCCAAGCTGGGATTCCCTAAAGGTTGTGCCGTCAAGGTTAAGGAGAACAGAAAGTGAGGCAGTTATTACATGGGGAATTTGATCCCAGGTTTAACTTTCTTGGATCAGGGAATTTCAAAACCTAAACTTGGTTTAAGTAGTTACTGACTAGTAATGTGCTCTGGTGCTTGACAGAACCAAATGATATCTCCTTTGGAGGAAGCTGTCTACATAATACATCACAAATCAATCTTGCAATTTTTCACATGCAATATTGAACATATATTCAACGATAATAGGGAACACAAGAAACTGGAGAACAAAAATGAAAGAATTAGAACCAAAGAGATGTGAAAAACTAGAATCATCAAATGCAGATGATAAAGCAACAATGCACATAAAGAAATGAATGTATTTGTTTGGCAGTTTTTAAACTTTTAATTAATACATAACTGTTATGAGAGCTCTTTTAACAAATTTAAGATGCAAGGAAAAAATAAAAAGGAATTAATTATTCCTAAAATATATAAAGTAGCATGTATTAATATGTATGCATTACAATGATTTAAAATATTGTAAATATTATTTACAATATTTTATTGTAACAAAAATAAAATATTTTTGGACAAATATTAACACAATATCTTTAGACAAATTAATTAGGAAAAAAGCTTTAAATCAACAGGTTTTACTTGCGGTATGGGAGGGTTTTTGGTGAGATATCTATACAGTTGAGAATATATAGCAGTGAGAATGAAACAATGATCTAAATTTCTATTAATAAAGATGGATAATTTGTCAAACATTTATTGCTTAAAGCCAAAATGCTAGCGATCTTTTTCTAAAGGTACCTTATTGAATTTTCTAAGGCTCACCTTTAAAAAGGGCTTAAGTGGGAACTATGGATAGATATAGGGATAATTTTGGAATAAATATAATACAACCTTAAGCATGTAGAGACCCTCTAATTAGACAATGGATCTGTCTACATGTAATGATAATTCTGTCTAGAGTCATGCTTCTTAAACTTTGAGACAGGATCCCACTCTGTCACCCAGGATGGAGTACAGTGGCATGATCATGGCTCACTGCAGCCTTAGCCTCCCAAGTTCAATTGATCCTCCTGTCTTAGCCTCCTGAGTACCTGGGACCATGGGTGTGCACCACCATGCTTGGCCAAATTTTTTTTTATTTGTAGAGATAGAGGTCTTACCATGTTTCCCAGGCTGGTCTTGAATTCTTGGGCTTATGCAATCCTCCCATAGAGGTCTTACCATGTTTCCCAGGCTGGTCTTGAATTCTTGGGCTTATGCAGTCCTCCCACATTGGCCTCTCATTGCACTGAGATTACAGGTGTGAACCACTGCACTCAGTCTTTCTTATACTTTAATGTGTACATGAATCACTTGTGTATCTTGTTAAACTACAGATTCTAATTCATTAGGTCTGGGGTAAGCCTGAGAGTCTACATTTTCTAACTAGCTTCAGGTGACACTGATGTTGGTGATTTTGACTAACAAGCAATGGTTCTTCAACTTTAGTCTTCATTAGAATCACCTGGAGGCTTCTTGAACTAGATTTCTGGTCTCCACCCACAGGGTTTTTGATTTAGTAGCTCTAAGTTGGAGCCTGAGTTTTTTCATTTCTAAAAAAAAAAAAAATTCCCTGGTAACGCTAATACTGCTGGTCCAGGTGCTGGATTTTGAGATCCACCAATTTGTTGTATAGGATTTGAAACAGGCAATAGAAAATGCCAAAAACACAGAACAAAATAGCTTTGTTCATCATCCAAGGCTCAAGCCAATCAAGCTTCACTGGCGAAAGCAGCACAAGGAGCCTGGGTTAATAAGCTCTGCCAGATATCTTGACTACTAATTAGCTCTAGTGATTGCAAACATTCCATTGATATGCTGGGACACACTAGCTTCCTGAGCCTAGTCAGGAAAATGGTTTGAAGCTTAGGAATTAAACATAACTCTATTGATATTATTTCATATGTACAAAAAACTTATAATCAACTAGTAGCCATTTTTACAGAAAAGGAGGGCCAGAGAGGTTGCTTGAGATAACACAGCCAGTGGCACAATTAAAATCAGCAAGGCCTCTATTACTATTGTGTAAAATGAAATACTATTCCACAGTACACGGTGATTCCACCCAAATCTTTCCTCCTTGAAGCAGATGTTCCTTGAAATGTAAGCTTACACTATGAGCTTAGGGAAGAGAAGTCACTCAATTCCTTTCTGAAAATAATTAGGCAGAAGATCAGGAATTATTTACTGCCAAGGTATTTAAAACACCTCTATTAACAGAAAAAAAGGAGGGGCAGGAAACTGGCTTTTATTGAGCAGCTATAATTTTCAGACCCTATGCTACATACTCTCTCCAACATATTTATGTTTGATCCTCATAACACAGTTTAAGGATGAAGACCTTGGACCTCAAAATTAAAGTCACTATTCCAAAGTCAAACACCTAAGAAAAATAAGAGCTATTTATTCCATTTCTAAGGAATAGAACCCAATGTGCCATACTCTTGGCAAGCAGAACATTGGAGGAGGTAATGAAATGGCCCCTAGGTAGGGAAGTAGTCCAGTGATTTAGAAGAAAGACTAAAGATTGATTGAGTCCATTTCATCTACAGGACATATGCAAAATCAGCCCCAACCTTATATTGTACCTAGACACATATATTCAATCACTAAATTGTTTTATAAGGATATACCCTAGAAATGCTGTACCAGAAATGGAGAAAGCTGAAATTACCTTTCCTTGAAAACTGATTTCTTCACTTGTCAGCCTTATTTTAGAAAATGGCAACATCATTTTAAGCAATGCTGAAACCTGGGAGTCATCTTGACTCTTCCTTTTCCAAAACCACTACATCCACATCTGTCACTAATACCTTTCAACTCTACCTTCTCATGATATCTTAAAACATCTATTCCTCTCCATCTTACTTCCCTCACCAGAATTTAAAAGTAATTAACTACGTTTTATCTTGCCTATGAGAATATTTTGCTAACTGACCTTCTGCGGTATGAAAATATTTTCCTAAAAGTCACATGATCTGCCCACCCCCGGCCCCTCCACCCAGGATCCTCCAAACAAACACCCTACATAGTATATTCACCCTACCATGGTCCTGTTCCTGATATTTTTCTCAGCCTTGATTCTCTACTCTCCACCAAGCTCACTGAATCATGTTAGTTTCCTGAACACAAAATGCTATTTCACACTTTTTTGTCATGGCCAACCTGCCTGAAGGAGCACAAAATGTAGTTTATAGGTCCTAAACAGCCTGTTATCCTCTGGAATAAAAAAAACATTAATCAGATGCAATGTCAGACTCACTTGAAAGATTTCTTAAGAAAACTTTTAGTCTCCTGAATGCCACAAACCTCAGTCACGAATCCAAGCAGAGGTTCTCTGAGTGTTCCTTTTAATTTTTCTTTTACCTAATCAGAATACCTAATCAGAAAGGTTATCTGCAGCGTGCCATCAGTGCTGGAAGGGGTAGTAGGGTTTCAATAGCTAAGAAGGTCCTCCAAACCTGTCAGGGTAGAAAATAAACACAAACCCAGTGCCTACTTTGGGCCAGGCGCTCTTAATGCCTAAAATCTAAAGGAGGACTTACCAAAGTTTTATGTGCATAGGAATCACCTTCAGTCTTCTAGGGTGGGGCTGAAGTTCTGAATTTTATTGCACTTACAAGTGATATTATTGGTGTCCGTCCACAGAGTACAATCTCAGTAGCAAAGTTCTAGTCTATTACAACACATCCTGCTGACATGGCATTGGGTTTGAAATTCCCACAATTATTATGTCTTTGTAATACCCTGAGAAAAAGCTGGTCTGCAGCTGATGGTATATTATGCATGTTTAGACATATATTACCTATTCGGGCACCCCATAGGGACTACAGCAGCCATGAATGGGATACATACACTTAGATTAAAGGAAACAAGGTGATAGGATGGCAAATTTTGCCCATAGAGAAAATAAGGGGGTGGCAGTCTGAGGAATGCAAGGAAAAAAGGATGAGAAACACCAGTGACAAACATCTTCATGGTCATCATAACTTACATTCTGTGAATATCTGTTATGTGCCCAGGTGTGCACTTTTAAGATAGGCTTTGACTAAAACATATATGAATCATTTTCCTTTTCTGCTTCTATTTTGGCACAGAAAACATTTAGGATGTTGTAATATATGTAATGAAAAAAAATTTTTCTTTGTCTTTTGAAGCTGAGCCGTGGGCATAAAATATTGTTTTGTTTCAGAAATGACCTTCTAAGAATGAAATGCTGCTTCTCCAACTTGCTGATTCATGTCTTCCTGGAGCAGATGGGTTGGCTATTTTTGCCCAAGGTCTAGGAGACATTGATCCCAAGAAAACATGCACTTAAGGCATTTTCTTTGTGCCCTGACTGGCCTGAAGCTGAGTCCCCTAGGGATGCTGTGCTGCATTCCTCATTTCCAGTGAAACAGATTAACTGAGATGTTTGTGCCCCAATCTAACAAAGAGCATCTTAGAGACGAATACAATCATGTCCATGCTAATATATATATATAGTATATAGTTATAACTATATACTATATACTATATAGTATATGGTATAACTATATACTATATACTATATGGTATAACTATATACTATATACTATATAGTATAACTATATACTATATAGTATAACTATATACTATATACTGTATAGTATAACTATATACTATATACTGTATAGTATAACTATATACTATATACTGTATAGTATAACTATATACTATATACTGTATAGTATAACTATATACTATATACTGCATAGTATAACTATATACTCTATACTGCATAGTATAACTATATACTATATACTGTATAGTATAACATTATATTATATACTATATAGTATATAATATATAGTATATATAATATATAGTATATATTATGTATTATATATATATGACATGCCCAATATCTTTGTTAACAGTTTCCAGAAAGCTTCCTAGAAAATCAAAGTCAGTGGCTGTTATAGTGCCCTAGGAGAAGGCAATAAACTAACTTAGTGGCCAGAGTATCTTCTAAATGTGTTTCCTGTCCCTTCAGCTACTAAACAAAATATTTAACAGGATCTGAGGCTGAACAAGATACCAAATCTATATCTGCATACTCAGTTACACATGTATAATCACAAAGGCTGCATTGGCAACAACATATGACATATCAAGTTTTCTACACAGTACATTTTGTATTAGAAGGCATAGAAATTGTCATTAAAATTGGATTCTCCAAAAACTACAAGATAAAAACTATCCTTTGAAGTCTGTGTTACAAGGCTCTTCACCATTTTATTCTGGCTAACCTGTCATAACTCATCTCCTGACATGCATACTAGCCCCTCTTATAATGCTAAACACCTGTAATATTGAACTATCTGTTGTTTTATGAATGTTTCAGGCAGTTTTATACCTTTGTCGGTTTTGTGTGACCTATTCCTTCTGGCTTTCTCCGTATTTTTTTTATAGTAAACTCCTATTCATCCTTCTAAGTCCAGGTTATATATCACTTCCTCCTGGCCGTCTGCTTCTTCTCCTGAATCAATCCATATTTGATCGTGGTGCTATACTTTATATGTTCTTTTCTTATTATACTTATTACTCAATATATTATAGCTATTTGTTTATATGTCTGTCTCCTCTACAACCATGAGTAATTTATTTGTTTTCATCTTTTTAACTTTAGTACCTAATATAGTACTCAAAAATGCTTGTGAAATTGAAATTAAATTGAAGAACCTAGAAGAAACTGCAGTAGAATCTAGTTCACTGTTGACCAAGCACCTTTTAGAATGGAAAGAGATTTTAACAATCATGTAGTTCAGGGGTCGAATTATACAGATATGGAAATGAAGGCCTGGGGTGGTTTGTTGACTTGCTAAAGCTCCTACTTGGTTAATGGCATAGCCTGAATTAGAATTTGGTTCCAGGCCATACCAGTGCTGCCACAAGTTGTTTTTCTTTTTGTTTGTTTGTTTGTTTTAGAGATGAGATCTCATTCTATTTCCTGAGCTGGAGTACAGTGGCATGATCATAGTTCACTGCATTCTCTAACTCCTGGGCTGAAGTAATGTAATTTGCCTGCCTCAGCCTCCCGAGTCGCCAGAACTACAGGCACACACTGCCACATCTGGCTAATATTTTTATTTCTTATAGAGATCGGGTCTCACTATGTTGACCAGGCTGGTCTCAAGCTCCTGGCCTCAAGTGTCTCTATCCTCAGCCTCTCAAAGTGTTGGGATTGCAGGCATGAACCACTGTGCCCAGCTCACAAGTACTCTTTGAACATGTAAAACAAATGTGGGACTATCTTTTATGAATCTGTCTGATGACATGCCTCACATGTTCATGGATTTGGTGCTATTATAGTACTTTTCCTTAAGTAAGCAACAAGCATAATTCCGTTATGTCCATGTTTTCCCCATGTGACAAGAAGGTGGTAACAATAATTTTAGTTTTATCTTGAATAAATAATGCCACGGGACATTCGATTGTACAATATGCCTCCCTTTCACTTAAAGTGGCCAAATTCATAAACCCATGAATATATTCATTATGGAAAATATTTTCCCCGTCTTATTCAACGCTGTACTATTTTTCTATTCTATCAATTATAGAATGATGGAGAAATTGGCTACATACTAATTCCTCAATTGTAGGAGTCCATAGTAATATCCCACTCACAGTCTTTAACTCTTTAACTCAGCATAGGCAGGGTGGGAGAGATGGGTGATACTGAAGGGCCAGAGTCAGCAAGGTTTTCTCTTTCCCTAAAGAACCAGGTACACAGAAGTAAAAGGAAAGGAAAGACTCTGAGAATACACTTCCACCTGTTCCTCACCCACCTTGAGTTGATGCATCCTCAAACAATGATAGCAACGGGCTGAAATCTATGGAATCAGAAAACTAGTTCCGAGTCTTGAGTCTCTAGTTATGTGTATGAGGTGGCTCCCTGATTTTCCAATTTTTCTCACTTATAAAACAGAAAATTTGAACAATAATAATTCAAAAAAAGATGGCATATGGAAGAGGTATTATGCTAAGCACTTGGTGGATATTACTTTATTTAAAAGTAATAAATACTTGTTTATTTATTATTTGCTTGTTCATTTTACACATGTATGCTAAAGATGTGTTAGAGACATGGTTCAAGTCCTCGCTTGTCTAAGTCTAAAACCCACCTTCTTAACTACTTTTTGATACATTCTCCAAAATTGTATGATCTAATAAAACTTGAAAATCAGCCTGAATGTATATGAAGTGACATAACAAAGAAACTCGTTAGTATTCTACCTTCTGGGGAGGTAGTCACCCCTTCCACTCTGCACACTAGTTTCATACAAATTAGATCAGACAAACATGCTAAATACCACACAGGAATATGTACAGCCCACAACTCTACTCAACAGCATCCAGCTACCTCTGAGAGAAAGAAGTGAGCTTTCAGTCTCTAGCAATAAGTCTTGTACTGTGCAAGTGTAATCTTAAATTATCCATTTTACCTTCTGTAAATCCCAATTTTGGTTCAAAAATCAAGACAATCTACGTCATCCCACTCTGTTAAAAGAGGAAAGGATAAGCACATACATGTGTAATCAAAGCCCGTCCCCATACATTGATGTGGCATTTAAATGAAGCAGCATAGAGACAGAAGGGACAGTAGCAGTCATTGAGCCTAAGCTTTAGAAGAAAAATGGACAACCCAAGATTAGCTTAAGTTTTAAATATGTATACAACAATCAATTGCTGCTTCTTTTCTGGAGGTCTCCTTCGATCAAATTATAGATGTTGCTTAGTTACATTATAGATACAAAAGGAAGTGGGGGAGGACAAAACCTGAACTGGTAGCTGATAATCCTTTTCTCTATTTTTGTCTAGATTTCCAGCTTCTGTGTAACCTTGGTTAAACCGTGTCTTTTCTTAGGACCTCATTTTCATTTACAAAATGGGGAGGTTAGACCAAATTTTTCCTGAAGTCTTTTCCATTTGTACTAAAAGTAGATGCTATATTTATGTGTTAAATAAATTGCACTGCTAAGTGTGTGATTACTGAAGACCGCTTACATGCAGTGATCTATTGATTCATTCATTCATTCAGCAAACATTTATTGAGAGCCTACTGTGTGCTAGAAACTGATATATATGTTCAGAATACATGAAAGAACTAAACAGACAACTTATGCTTCACTTCATGTGACTGTCACATTTACTTTCAAGCAATGCACAGAAAAAAAAATCCATGTGCACTACTTTAGAGGAATCAAAATGAGATGCATCCCAAAGAGTCTGGAACATTCTTTTTTGGCACAGTGGTTTTAAGTATACTACTCCTCAACTTTCTTTAATGCTATAATAAGAGTGTTATGCTGTAATGTGTACCTTTCTCAGGAACAAAACTTTGTTTTCCAACTCCCCTATGTCAGCAGTGTTTGTCAGCATAACTGGCACCCATTGCCTTGTTTGTAATGGCTTCCTTGTTCACTGGCTGGCCCTGGGGTTATCTCTACCAGAGTCACCGTATGTCCTTCATTTGCCCACTGTTGCAAAGGTTTTCCTGAAACTTTAGCAGTGCTCCCTTAAAATGTTCTGTTATTACCAATTTGTATCACAGGAAAGAAAATCATTCACGTCAGGGGATAGGGCACAGGATGGCCAACTAGATGCAGTCAAGAAGCACCACTCCCACCAAGAGAGACCAAATTATTGAGTAAACCATCATAATTTGGGCAGATCTCTTTGGAGATAAAACAATAAGAGTGGATGGAGAGGCAATGCTGAAGACCAGGTTGAAGAGAGAGGAAGGTGAGAACCCTGTGTGGGGTGTCCACATGCCAGGTTTAGTTCCTGGCCCCAAATGGTTCCTGGGAAAGGGGTGAGTGAGGGAACTGAGGGATGCATTATGCTTGCAGCAGACCTCTAAGATCCTAGCTACAGGGAACCTTGTATCCCCCATGGATGTGTGAGCTGGCAGTGGATTTCCCTAGGGAACAGGTAGAGACAGCCCTTTGGACAGCAAGGGACCTGGGAGCTTTTGTGAGCCAGGCAAGTCCAGCAGACAATGGCCACAGATGCCAATTCCTCAGAGATCCCCATTCTCCTCCAGGAGGCAAAGCCCCAGCTGATCTCCAAGCCAGGAGACAGTGGGGCTAGCTTCCCTATGAGAGTGAGACACATCTGCTCTACAAGGCTTCATACCTGCCGGTCCCTCCCAGGGTCCATGCCTAGTCATCCTGCAGGAGAGGTGCAGGAGTGGGTGCACAGTGCAACCCCCACAGCCCAGCCTGAGTATGTTGCTGCACCTGAGTGATTTCCTGGTGACCCAGGAGCATATAAGATCCCCTAGGAGAGTTGGAACTAGAACCTGAACCCCAAGATGTCCCACTGCCCCTAGGGCTGCAGTGCACAACTCAGGAGTACAGAGCCAAGGTGTGTGGCTGATACTCAAGCAGGGGAGAAGACCTATCCCTCAGAGCAATGAGAGAAACAAGAGGCATGGGCTTCTGGGTAGGGTAGGTGTGGTGCATGCCTCCCTCCATAGGGCTGATCCAAAGAGAGTGTGGCATATCTCCCTGCCAGAGTCTCTGCCCAAGGTGCCACCATAGCTCAGAACATCTGACAAAAGAAATGCAGGAGCAGCACCAGCTATCTGGAGGGCGCTCCCCCAAGGCCCAGGAGCAAACCTGGTGAGGGGGCTATCTCTCTCCCCTACTACCCCCCTGCCAAGGATGCTTGCTAATGTGAGGAAGTACAAAAGAACCCACAGGCTGGGCATTAATCTAGCTATGGTTCATTACTCCTAAGTGTCATCTATTGGATTACGGTTCAAACTACAACACCAAAATTTTTTTCTGATAATATAGACACCTGTGGAACCAAGCACACTAATTCACTCACACATAAAAATCCTATACAGAGCACTGGCCCTCTGAAAGCATCCAGAAGCAAAGCCAACTGACTATACTCAACTTAGACCACAGTTAAAAAAACACTAACTCTCCCCAATGAGAAAGAATTAACACAAGAATTCTGTCAGTACAAAAAGCCAGAGCCCCTGTATTAGTCTGTTCTCAAGCTGCTATAAAGACATACCCAAGACTGGGTGCTTTATAAAGAAAAGGAGGTTTAATGGCCTCACAGTTCCACATGGATGGAAAGGCCACACAATAATGGCAGAAGGTGAGGGAAGAACAAAGGCATGTCTTTCATGGCAGCAGGCAAAGAGAGAAATGAGAACCAAGCAAAAGGGGTTTTTCCCTTATAAAACCATCAGATCTTCTGATACTTATTCACTACCATTCACTACCAAGAACAGTATGGAGGAAACTGCCCCCATGATCCAGTTATCTCCCACCAGGCCCCTCCCACAACACATGGGAATTATGGGAGCTACAATTCAGGATGAGATTTGGGTGGGGACACAGCCAAACCAAATCATACTACCTCTGTCCCCTCCCAAATCTCATGTCCTCACATTTCAAAACTAGTCATGCCTTTCCAATGGTCCCCGAAAGTCTTAACTCATTTCAGCATTAACTCAAAAGTTCACAGTCCAAAGTCTCTTCTGAGACAAGACAAGTCCCTTCCACCTATGAGCCTGTAAAATAAAAAGCAAGTTAATTACTTCCTACATACAATGGGGGCACAGGCATTGAGTAAATAGAGCTGTTTCAAATGGGATAAATTGACCACAACAAAGGAGCTACCAGCCCCAAGCAGGTCTGAAATCCAGTAGGGCAGTCAAATCTTAAAGCTCCAAAATGATCTCCTTTGACTCCATGTCTCACATCCAGGTCATGATGATGCAAGAGGTAGGTTTCCATGGTCTGAGCAGCTCTGCCCTGTGGCTTTGCAGGGTATAGCCTACCTCCTGGCTGCTTTCACAGGCTGGCATTGAGTGTCTGTGGTTTTTCCAGGTACATGGTGCAAGCGGTCGGTGGATCTACCATTCTGGGGTCCAGAGGACAGTGGCCCTCTTCCCACAGCTCCACTAGGTGGTGTCCCAGTAGGGACTCTGTGTGGGGGCTCTGGCCCCACATTTCTCTTCCACACTGCCCTAGCAGAGGTTCTTCATGAGGGCCCTGCCCCTGCAGCAAACTTCTGCCTGGGCATCCAGGTGTTTCCATACATCCTCTGAAATCCAGGCAGAGGTTCCCAAACCTCAATTCCTGACTTCCATGCACCCACAGGCTCAATGCCATGTGGAAGCTGCCAAGGCTTAGGGCTTACACCCTCTGAAGCAGCAGCCCAAACTGTACCTTGGCCCCTTTTAGCAATGGCTGGAGCAGCTGGAATCCAGGGCACCAAGTCCCTAGACTTCAGAGAGCAGGGTGGCCCTGGGCCTGGCCCATGAAACCAGTTTTTCCTCCTAGGCCTCTGGACCTATGATGGGAGGGGCTTCCTTGAAGACTTCTGACATGCCCTGGAGACAGTTTTGGGGATTAATATTTGGTTCCTCATTACTTATGCAAATTTCTGCAGCTGGCTTGAATTTCCCCTCAGAAAATGGGTTTTTCTTTTCTATCCCATCATCAAGCTGCAAATTTTCTGAACTTTTATGCTCTGGTTTCCTTTTAAAACTGAATGCTTTTAATAGCACCCAAGTCACCTCTTGAATGTTTTGTTGCTTAGAAATTTCTTCCACCAGATACCCTAAATCATCTCCCTCAAGTTCAAATTTTCAAAGATCTCTAGGGCAGGGGCATAATGCCACCAATTTCTTTGCTAAATTGTAGCAAGAGTCACCTTTACTCCAGTTCCCAACAAGTTCCTCATCTCAGATGGAGATCTGAGATCATCTCGGCCTGGATTTCATTGTCCATATCATTATCAACAGTTTGGTCAAAGCCATTCGACAAGTTTCTAGGAAGTTCCAAACTTTCCCAAATTTTCCTGTCATTTGAGCCCTCAGAGTCTCTAGGAAGTTCCAAACTTTCTCATATTTTTCTATCTTCTTCTGAGCCTCCAAAGTGTTCCAATCTCTGCCTGTTACCCAGTTCCAAAGTCGCTTCCATATCTGTCGGTATCTTTACAGCAGCACCCTACCCCTAGTCCCAATTTACTGTATTAGTCTGTTCTCATGCTGCTGATAAAGACATACCCAAGACTGGGTAATTTATAAAGAAAAGGAGGTTTAATGGACCTCCTTTCCACATAGCTGGAGAGGTCTTACAATCATGGTGGAAGGCAAGGGAAGAACAAAGGCATATTTTACTTGGAAGCAAGCAAAGAGAGAAATGAGACCCAAGCAAAAGGGGCTCCCCCTTATAAAAGCATCAGTTCTGATAATACTTACTCACTCTCATGAGAATAGTATGGAGGAAACTGCCTCCACAATTCAATTATCTCCCACCAGGTCCCTCCCACAACACATGGGAATTATAAGAGCTACAATTCAAGATGAGATTTGGGTGGGGACACAGCCAAAGCTTATCAGTCCCCCTACCCCCAAACAAGTATAATAGCTCCCCAGCAATAGTTCATAACCATTCTGAAACAACTGAAATGACAGATACAGAATTCAGAATTTGGATGGTAAGGAAACTCACTGATTTAGGAGAAAGTAGAAACCTGATCCAAGGAAACTAAAGAATCCAGTAAAATGATCTAAGAGTTGAAAGATGAAATAGCAAATTTAAGAAAGAACCTAACTAAACTTCTAGAGCTGAAAAACTCACTACAAAAACTTCGTAATACACTAGGAAGTATTAACAGCAGAATAGACCATGCTGAGGAAAAAATCTCAGAGCCAGAAGATCAGTTCTTTGGCTAAACTCAGTGGGACAAAAATTTTAAAAAAGAAGAATTAAGAAAAATGAAAAAACCTCCACAAAATGTGGGGTTATGTAAAGAGAGCAAACCTACAATCCATTGGCATTTCTGAGAGAGAAGAAGAGAGAATATGCAGCTTGAAAAATATATTTGTGGATATAGTCCACAAAAATTCCCCTAATCTCACTAGAGAGGTTGATGTGCTTACCCAAGAAATACAGAGAACCTAGTCTAGGTATTATACAAGGCACATAGTCAACAGATTAACCAAGGTCAATGCAAAAGAAAAAATTCTTAAATGCAGCTAGAAAGAAGGGTCAAGTTATCTAGAAAGGGAACACTGTCAGGTTAGTAGCAGACCTCTCAGCCAGAAGAGACTGGGAGCCTAAGTTTAGTGTCCTAAAAGAAAAGAAATTCCAACCAAGAATTTCATATCCTGCCTCACTAAACTTTATGCATAAAGGAGAAATAAAATCTTTCTCAGACAAGCAAATGCTGAAGGAATACATTACAACTAGATCAGACTTATGGGAGGTTCCTAAGAGAATGCTAAACATGGGGTCAAAAGAATCACACCTACTACCACAAAAACACACAAGCACATAGCCCACAGTTATGCTAAATCAACTACACAATCAAGTCTACCTAACAACTAGCAAACAACATGATGACAGGATTAAAATCACAGATATAATTATCAACCTTGCATGTAAATGAGCTAAATGCCCCATTTAAGAACACAGAGTAGCAGGCTGGATAAAAAAGACAAACCCTACCATCTGTTGTCTTCAAGAGACCCATCTCAAATGTGATGACACTCACAGGCTCAAAGTGAAATAATGGAGAAATATCAACCAGGCAAAAAGAAAACAACAACAACAACAAAAAACAGGAATAGCTCTTCTTAAGTTAGATAAAACAACCATTTTAATACAGAACTAAACTGAATTTCTAGAACAGAAAACCTCTCAATATTGACTTTAGACTTTAATGAAAATTAAGAACAATGAAGGACATTGCATAACTATAAAGGGTACAATCCAAAAAGAAGCCTTAACTATGTTAATTTAGTCTGCTGCTAACCTGATGGTTTTCCCTCCATATATAAATTGACCCTTTTCTCTAGATACCTTTAAGATTGTTTTCTATTTCATTGACTATCCAACATAGGAGCACCTAGAGTCATAAAATAAGTTCTTCCTGGTCTACAAAAAGACTTAGACAACCACACAATAATAGTAGGGAACTTCAACACCATACTGAAAGCATTAAACAGATCATCAAGGCAGGAACCTAACAAAGAAACTCTGGACTTACACTTGACACTTGACCAATTGGACCTAATAGACATCTACAGAACACTCTACCCAAAAACCACAGAATATATATTCTTATCATCTGGACATAGACCATATTCTAAGATTGACCACAGGCTGGAAATTGAACAACTTGTTTCTGAATAACTTCTGGGTAAACATCAAAATTAAGGCAGAAATTTTTTTAAAAAATTGAAATTAATGAAAATAGGGACATAAGTTACCAAAATTTCTGGGATGCAGCCAAGGCAATATGAAGAAGAAAGTTCATAGCCCTAAACACCTTCATCAGGAAGTTAGAAAGATCTAAAATTATTAATCTAACCTTGTACCTAAAAGAACTAGAAAACAAAAGAACAAACCAACTCCAAAGCTAGCAGAAGATAAAAAATAATCAAAATTAGAGAGGAACTTTAATGAAATTGAGATTCAAAAATCCATACAAAACATCAGTGAAGCCAAGAGTTGGTTATTCAAAAAATAAATAAATAAGATTAATAGACTGCTAGCTAGATAAAGAAAAAAAAAGATCCAAATAAATACAATCAGAAGTGGCAGAGATGACATTACAACTAATCACACAGACATACAAAAGCTCCTTAGAGAATACTATGAGAAACTCTATGCACACAAATAAGAAGATATGGAGGAAATGGATAAATACCTGGAAACCCACAATCTCCCAAGATTGAATCAGGAAGTGATTGCAACTCTGCATAGACCAATATCGAGCTCTGAAATTGAATTATTAATAAAAAAAAAACCCTACCAATCCAAAAAGACCCTGGATCAAATGAATTCACAGCCAAATTCTACCAGAAAGACAAAGAACTGGTTTCAATCATACTGAGACTATTCCGAAAAATCAAAAAGGAGGAACTCCTCCCTACCTCATCAGCCTAATACCAAAATCTGAGAGAGATACAACAAAGAAAACTTCAGGCTAATACCCGTGGTGAATATAAATGCAAAAATCTTAATAAAATACTAGCAAATTGAATCCAGCAGCACATCAAAAAGTTAATTCACCATGATCAAGTAGGCTTCCTTCCTGCAATGCAAGGTAGATTCAAGATAGGCAAATCAATAAAGGTGATTCACCACATAAACAGGATTAAAAGCAAAAGCCATATGATCATCCCAATAGATGCAGAAAAAGCTTTCAGTAAAATTTAACATCATTTCATGATAAAAACCCTCAACAGACCAGGCGTCAAAGAAATATACCACAACATAATAAGAGCAATCTATGACAAACCCACAACTAATACCATACTGAATGGGTAAAGGCTGGAACCATTCCCCTTGAGAACTGGAACAAGGCAAAGATGCTCACTCTCTTTTAAAGAAATCATTCACTTGTAACTATCACTTAGGAAGGGCAACTTTTATGGAAAAGCAATGATACATGCCCTCTCCAAAGAATCTTTTTTTTTTACTTGATTTGCAGGAATCTGTCATGGAGTAAGACAGTTAGTAACTCCCTTCAAACTTAGTAGCAGGGAATAGCATGATGGAAAGAATGTTTATTAGATTGCCACTCTCTAGCTGTATAACTTCAGGAAGGGCATTCAACCTGTGAGTCTCAGATTTTAGTGGTAAAATAATATGTACCTCAGTGTTGCTATGAGGATTCAATCAGATAATATAGAAGTGCCTAGCACCTATCACCAAACATTACCTAGACAATATACCCATCACCATAATATAAAATTGAATAGCCAGTTACAATTTACGTAAGAGTACTCAAATATAAAGAAGGTTGTAATTATGGAGATAGTCTAGGTAATGAACTGATTGTTTCACTAACGTTTAAATTTTTACATCTATGGCCTCTAAGTTCCAGCACAATAAATGGTGGCTTCCTTTCTTAACCTTTCCTAATACCTTATCCAAGTTTCTATAATGAAATCAGCTGTTTATTCCAATGGACAATTCTAACTTCCTAGGTGTTAGGAGCACCTATCTCATTTACCAAATCATTCACCAATGAATCAAAAAAGCAACCCAAAACCAAAAGAAAATGCCAAGTATTGGGTTCAAGTTCTAGATTCAACTACTTTACCATCTGCATGACTTTAAGCATGTTGATCTTTCTAGACTCAGAATTTTTCAGCTGTAAAATGGTAATCTATAGTTGCTTTACAAATCTTTGTAGGTTTTATGTAAAGATAAAAAACTCATACTCTTCGGCTTTGTAAATTTGGGTCTTTCATAAATACAATTAATAGTATTGTTTCTCTTATTGGTATATATGAATATATTCAACTTAAGTAAAACTAGTTTATGATTCTATATTTTTTACAATGTGTAACAGATTTATTTTCTATTCTTACAAATTATACCCTAGAGAGAAAATAAAACCAGGAATCTGTGAAAAGGCAGCCAATAATTTTCTCTCCTTATCCTAGAAAACCAGAAAATAGCAGCATAATGAGACAAGCATAGTAATTACACTATTTGCAGAACTAATTCTATGTGATATGATGAAGATGCCCTCCTGGCCCTCAATAAAACATAAATAAGCAATTTTGTCTTACAAAGCGTTATTTTTAAAATATAGTAATTAACCCCTTACCTTTATCTTCTTTCACTTTCCACTCTGGGATTTTGTATTATTTTGCAAAGTAGAGATGATTCATTTCTGAAAAATGGCAACCATTTTCAGTGTTGGCATAGGAGGGTGACAATATTGTTGGTGGATAATTCTGAGCGCGTGTCTCTATACAACATCCTAGATTCTCCAGCCTCTTTTCAGGACCAAATGTGTCTATTTCATTTTTTTCGTCTGTTTTCTAATAAAAACCTAAGTTGTTTTTGAGCCAGATTATGGGATCAATAAACTAAACACTTTAAAGTGTATGTATCCAATCTGTAACTAATTGCCCATAAAACATCACTGGAAATTAAATGAGGGAGAAGAATGTATTTATCAGAAATCCTCTTGAGAGTGTCCTACATGTTACTGAATTGAAAGCTCCTTTATTGCGATGTATGCTGGAAGAAAGGGGTTTTTAATGAAGCACAACATCCCTCCCTACACTCTCCCCCAAGTCCCTCCTCACAAAGGGGTATGAAATGGACCCTAAACTACCTTGTAAGGATGTCTTCAAGGTGTCAGCAGTATTGTATTCCTTCTGGAGGCTTTAGAGCAGAATCCATTTCCTTAACCTTCCTAGTTCCTTAGAGGCCTCCTGCCTTCCTTGGCCTGTGGTCCCTTTCTCAAATCACTCTGACCTCTGCTTCCATCATCATGTCTCCTTCTCTCATTCTGAGCTTCCTTCCTCCATTTTCTAAGACCCTTTGTAATTATGTTGGACCTACTGAACAGGCTCATGATGCTTAACCTAACCATATCTGCAAAGTATCTTCTGCCACTTAAGGTAACACATTCACCATTTGTAGGGATTAGGAGGTAGACACCCTTGGGGAGCCATTATTCTTCTTAGCATACTGCATATACTATTCTGGAATAAAAAGGATGTGAATTTAAACCCTGAATCACTGTTTGTTCTATAGGACTTTAAGCAGATTGCTGAAGTAGTAACCTCTTTCCAAAGCTATAAATTGGTGATCTTGGTTATAACTGCCTCACAGAGTGGTTGTGAGAGTCAAATAGGCCACAAAGCTAGTTGAATAATGCCAACACAGTGACTACATCTTATTTGCTAGACTAATATTTCTCAAATTTCAGTGACTAATGACCCTTTTCAAGAAAAAAAGTTCTCTTCAGCATTGATAAAATATTTAAATTATTTTTTATTTAAATAAGTACAGCATAAAACTGAGTTAGCTTTTGTTTATAATTCTTAAACAAATATATGAAGCAAATTTACAAGGCAAATTAATAGACTTAAGCAATGCTTGTAACCTAAATTGCATACTTGCTACTATGCCATTGGACTTTTCCAGTTAGACATTCTTATTTACTATATGTGTGTGTGTGTGTGTGTGTGTGTGTGTGTGTGTGTGTGTTTTGAGATGAGATGAGGTCTTACTCTGTCACCCAGGCTGGACTGCAGTGGTGTGATCTCGGCTCACTGCAACCTCCACCTCCTGGGCTCAAGCCTTCCTCACATCAGCCTCCCAAGTAGCTAGGTGCACCACCATGTCCGGGTAATTTTTTGTATTTTTGGTAAATATGGGGTTTTGCCATGTTGTCCAGGCTGGTCTCAAAATCCTGAGCTCAAGCGAGCTGCCCACCTCGGCCTCCCAGAGTGCTGGATTTACAGATGTGAGCCACTGTACCAGGCCAGTGTCCATATTTGCTATAGTTTTATGATACCCAAAAGCTCTCACCATCTTTCACTATTCAAATTATGCATTGGGAAACATTTATCAGTAGGATGGTCAGCCATGTTATCATTGGGCCTCCAAACATCGCAAGCCTGGGTATAAACATAAAATCAAACACAAGTGCCTAGTTCGCATTGCAGTATCAACTCTAAGAACATCTAGCACTGCATTTTCTAGTACAATAACCACTAATCATTAAAGAGAAGTTAATATAAAAAATTAATATTTAAGTTAATATTTAATTAAATTACCAGCCTGGCCAATATGGTGAAACCCCTCTCTACTAAAAATACAAAAATTAGCCAGGCATGGTGGCACAGGCCTGTAGACCCAGCTACTCGAGAAGCAGAGAAAAAGAATTGCTTGAACCCAGAAGGCAGAAGTTGCAGTGAGCCGAGATGGAGCCATTGCACTCCAGCCTGGGCAACAGAGAGAGACTCTGTCTCAAAAAAATTAATTAATTAATTAGTTAATTAAAGTCTCTGTTCAACTACCCTAGTTGCATGTGGCTGTGATGATCATATTAGACAGCATAAAATACATTTTAATTATCGTGGAAAGTTGTGTTTTAAAATTTTTATAGAGAATTATGTACCTTTAGACAACATCTAAAAATACTGCTGCTTAGGAAACACTGTAGTAGATGGTTGTCCATGAGAAAAGGAGTTATTCCTATTGTATTAACTGCTTTTTTCCCTAGTGCTTAGTGCTTAATAAACACTTGTTGAAAGATTGAAATTCCAGTTTAAAAGGCAAACTGTGTATATAAATTATGTTTTCAAACTAAGAAGTTCTGTGATGGAATAAATGTACTAGGGACAGAGATAAAATGTGTAGATCTTTTGTTTATCAAAAGACACATGAACCTATTTAAAATAAATGCTTTTCACATAGCTAATTATTCTACCATGTTTATCATAAATAAACAAATCAAATTTTAATTATTGTTGTTCTATGAATAATGACCATCAATTATTAGGTTAAAATATTTTGATTTATTATTCATGCTAAATGAACACTGTCAAAATAACAGATTTTATGGAAACTAAGACAACATCAAAGGTACAATATACATGTTGTTATTGGTACTAATTAATGTCTTTACATATCTACTAACTTCACTGTAGAGAATAAATATGTTTCTGCAAATTTATATACAAATTCTAATTTTAACAATCAAATCTTTCTTTTATTAAACTAGGGCATTTGCTGTGGAAAGGAGCCCTTACTCTTTTTGGTGTTGTAGTTCTTGTTTTGTTTTCAAACAATGAAAACATTATGTAATTTGAAAAATTATCCCCATGCTGTTTGCTTTGTAAATCCATGTTTGTTTATTAAAGCTTTTACTCTTGAGACTATATTGATAAAAATCTAAATATTTTATCTTCATCTTATATAAGCTTCACATGTTGGTATTAAAAAATCCTCTTGTAATAAACACAACTCTAAGAGATTAATGATTTACATGCTAGAGAAATGAAATAAGCTTATCAGTGATGAAAGAGATGTATGTATCCTACTTTCTGGAAAATAACATATTTCATTACTTGGCTGTTTGATTTACAAAAATTATAGATTGTATTGGAAGTCCCATGAATGTGCCTGGTAAAATATAATGGAATACTTATATTTCTCTTGAGAATACTCTAATATAATGTATTTGTATTTCTCTGAATTTGAAGGGAACAGCCTAAAACTGTATGCTATCAAAATGCAAATATAACATAATTTTGCCAGGAACCTACTCTCTTCATCAGGAAATATAGACCACAATAATTAAATTCATGCTGGAAAACAATGCTTTCCATTAGCACAGTTTTATTTTCAAAACCAGAATAAAGTGTGGATTTAGAAGTAGTCTCAGTCCTCATCTTTGGAAAGATTCAGTTTTTCTAATTCAGGCTACAAGTACTTGTAAAAGATCGTATAAAAATATTTCACCTAACCACATTCATTTTGGCTACCTAGCTAAATGTGAATTACTTTGAAAGAGGGGATTAACGGGCATGACTGTGGACCATAAAATATGCAATAGATAAATATTCTTGAAAAACAGTGACTCTTAAAGAGTTAGTATGTTTTTCACTCATCTTGGAACCTGCAGTAATATTGATGTCCTTGAACAAAGTGATATATTTAGAACAGATGACTGACTGCTATGGGGATTTAAATAAACTATGATTTTAAAATTGTCTATTTCTCTATTTTTAAATTTTCTTCTGAAAATAAATTTCAATGCACTTCTTCAAATCTTTCACATTTTCATACCTCTTTACTTTTTCTTGTGCTGATATCTCTAAATGGAATGCTCCCTCATCCTACCCACATCTCCTTTTTTCTGACATCTAACTAAATTATATTATTTTAAATTTTCAACCTGAGCATCTTTGTGAAGCTTTCTCTAATACTAGGGATAAAGCATCTGGTTTATGAGTATTTTTTCAGGTATATCAACTTTCTCAGAAATTTGTCAGACAAATTTTTAAATTTTAAATGTTTAAATCTTCTATAGTTAATATATGAATCACCTATTTTATTGAATGACTATGTGTCAATAACAAAGATTCACATGGAGTTTTTTTCTTTAATGAAATGCTATAAATTGACTTCCTATAGCAATAAAGTGAACAAAGTTTGGTCTCTCTTTTATATTTGTAGTAATTTATTAGTAAGTCAATATTGCAATGTATCAGAATATTCTTCACCAGCAGGTCAATATAAAATTCAGGAGATCATATAAAGGACCAAAATGTAGTCACAGAGTCTTCTTACATTAATAGTAATTGGTACAGTTTGGACTGACAAGTTCTTAGACCTTGGAACAATTGTAGAATCCAGAAAAATTTTCTAAGACACAAATAAAAGATGTGCTACAGTTTACTATTCTTCCAAAATTCCATGTGTCAAATAATTGAAATAGTACCTGCCTGCAATATTGAAAAAGATAAATGGTAGCAGTTCCAAGGAGACTGATTTTATAACAACTTTAACTCTTCTGGATATAAACTTCTGTATTAATTCAAATACATGGTGAATTGAAGTTGCTAAAAGAGAAAAACAGGTATTAATACCTATGCTATTAATGCTGTCATTTTCACGAGTCTGTTTCAGATTTATCCTTACACATTAATAATACTGATATCCCAAAGCAGAGATTTAATTAAATTTTCCAAATAAGGCAATACATTTGTAAGCATACTTAGAACCATGATAAATAAAGCTAAAATGTATTCTTTAAATAAATGAACCAAGTAAATTTGTGTTGCTGTGACTTTGATTTAATAACATGGAATTTTTACATTACTCACTTGCTAATCAAAGAAATGTTATAATCTTTGATGAAGTATCCCTAGGTTCTGATTTATTTCTTTATTTTAATAAGTCAGGATATATTTTTTATGAAATGTTATTTTAAATGGCATTATGATCAACAGATTTTTATTAAATATTTACTAGGAGCATGCCAAACAAAAGACTCATTACTCAAGCTCCACCAAACTGTTTTCTAGACTAAATTAATTACAGATTCTTAGGCAAACGACAATGCACAGAGTTGTGCTAATGGCTTCACGATGTTCCTAGTTTCCTAAGACCCAATCTATTCCCATCTCCTCAAGTAGCCCTCAATGATTTTAACTACTTTTCTTCTTCCCAAACTTAGGTGACATTATATCCTAGGATAGCTTTCAGTTCTTTTATTTATTCAAGTGTCATCAATGAGTAATGAATAATTCAGTAGTTATTAAGGACTACTGAATGTTTGATACTGTGTTAAGCACCGAGTATGTTACTTGCAATCAAGTGTCTACGTGGCAAATAATGTTAGCAACGTAATAAATGCACTATATTAAGTGGCATTACAGTAGCAACAACATCAAACATATATTTCTCATTGATAGCATTTTAGGCACCTGTGGGTTGACTGCTATGACTCTGTGAATTTCCATCTCAGAACAAAGGCTAAAGATACAGTCCCTATTTAGTACCTGACATTCTTATGGCAGAGGAAAAAGTGCAGGAGTTAATTGTTTAGTGGCTTTTAACATTTCTGCTTGAATGTAATACACAGTTGATTTCTACTGTTTGAGGTAGTAATGTTCGTAAAGAATATTATTTATTGCGTATTAAAATATATTATTTGAAATATATTAATATAATTAATTATATATTATTAATTATATAGTGAAAGATAATTAATAGTGGTGTTATGAATAATCAAGTTAAAAAATGAATAGCCTTCCACAGAAATTCTTATATTTACAGCCTTTTGCCTAGGTCGGTGGCATTGAACATAAGGTGATTACAAAGTGCGTAAGCATTTGACCCAAATGCATTTGTGATAATTACTTATTTTTCATTAATGAAAGCATGTAATTTTTCAGTAAAGCTGTTATATTTTATGTTACATTGAGAAATAAGAGGTTTATGAATAGGTAAGTTGAATAAAAATATTTTGATCAGCCATTTAACACATTAATTAATTTGATTCAACTTTTGTATCTGGCTAGTTAGGATTTAAAGAAAAATTATCTGCAACACTTTCACTTATACCCATGAGGGATTATGCATAGAACTGTACACTTAAAATGTGTGAATTTTACTGTGCATAAATTTTATCTCAATAAAAATAATTTTCAAAAGAAGAACCTGTATCTGTATAGACATTTTAAGTTGTAGTAAATAACATACGTTTTATGAAACAAGTTTTTGATTGCCAGTGTTACTGCTGTTTAAGTTAAGGAAATAGTTGGGAATGGTATAACAGGATTCATGGCAGTAGAAAGCCAAAAGTATTGATTTAATTTCTCTCAACTTCAAAAAAAAAAAAAAAAAAAGAGAGACAGAGAGAAATAAAAAAGTCTTGGTTCAAGATCTGATTACAAGGTTTGCCACTTATAGTGTAAGACTATCATCACATCTGCTTAGAAATGAGACATACATAAAAGTGTTGGCCAGGATACCAGAGAGCAGAGAGAAGGAATTCCAACCTGCAAACTGATTTATTTGCTGCTTCTGCCTCATTATAACTAATACATGTCCATTTTTCTGAGGAATTTGGCTAAGATTTCCTTTCACTGCAATGAGCTATCTGATAATGTGTTTGCAGAGGTGGAAAAGTAGAGTGCTCTACCAATGAAGAATACCCATAATCATGAAAAAAAATTAAAGTTCTGGCACATAACAAAAAGCCAAATTAGTTTATGCTTGCTTGATAAATAACCCTCTTGACACTCAGAGAGCACTGAATTCTCAAACATAAAAGAAAGGGCTAAGTTTAGGTTGAGTTGTTGAGCATTCTACTAAATGATGTTGGCCAAACAAAAACACTATGCTAAATATTTATTATATTAAATTTTTAAGTTACCAAGTCAAAAATATCACCTTACACATCTTCTGGACATAGTGCAAAGTTGTTTATTTTATTTCATTTTTTAAGTTAAGTTTTCATTTGTTATAAGGTAATAGAACATTTCTCAAACTACACAGGGTAAATAACTAGTTTTATTCTAAATTTCCAACCTATCATGGATTAATAATTCTATGAAATATAACAAAAATGAATTGTTAGAAAAGTGAAAGAAAAAACAGACATATAAAATATGTTCATTTTTAGTATTAATTCTATAAAAATAAAATTACCCTGCCATACTGCTATAAAAATTTCTAAAAGCTTATTCTTAATTTCTGTACTTATATGTTCAAAAATAGTAATACAGGGATCTGAACAGGCACCAGTCCACAAAACACACTTTTAAATGAACATCTGTGTTTCTTCCAAAGGTAAAATAAGTGCAATAAGCTTATAATTGTTCTAAATAAGGGTCACTATATTTGCCAAACTTCAATTTGTTTTCCCAAGATTTAACTATTTTCAATAGTTTGACAGTTACCTTGGTAAATTGAAATAACAAGCCTATGTTGCCATTTCTTGACTTTTTCTTATTTTTATTTATTATTATTTTAACTTTTATTTTAGGTTTGAGAGTACATGTGAAGGTTTTTTACATAGGAAATCACATGTCATGGGGATTGGTTGTGACAGGGACTTCTTGATGAAAAACTGGACAATTGACTTGAATTAAAGTTTTATAAATGAGAATATTCAAATGACCAATAAACATATGAAAAAAGCTTATTTTCATTCGTCATTAGGTAAATACAAATTAAAACTACAATGAGATGCCATAACATATGCACCAGAATGGGTAACAAAAAACTAACAATACTAGGTGTTGATAAAGATATGAAAGAAGAAAAACGCTCATATACTGCTTGAAGTATAAATTGGTACAACCACTTTAGAAGACCCATTGTTAATATTTAACCTAGAAAATGCACAGATTTATGAGACACTCATTACAATCCTGGGTATATACTCTACAAAATGTGTGCTTAGGTAATATAATCAAGACACACACACACACACACACACACACACACACACACTTCAAATTCTAGTGGAGATCTGTTTTTATCTTGTGCTAAGTGCTGAACCCTGAATGTCAAAAGTCTTCCTCTCAGTATTCCTGCTCCATCCTCAACTTTCAGCACTCTTTGCAAGCCTGCACCTCAGAGGGATTTTTTTCCCCATGCTTTGTCTCATTCCCCAACACAACAGTTGACTTCTTGTCACTCAGTGCCAGCCAGGTTCATAGCGGGAGGTGAGGAGGTAGGTTCAGTGCTCCTGGCCCATCTTCAGTGGTAGACACATCCTTCTTGAGGCCCTACCTGAGAGGGGGAATGGAGGGCTTTCAAGTTGTTCCTGTTCCTCCCTACTATAGTAGCCAAACTGTGCCTTGCACGTGTGGCAGTTTTAGAGCCAGGGAGTGTTCGCTACCTCTCCACTAGGAGCACCATACCTCTGCTTTGAATTACTGAAGGATGGAGGCCTGAAGACCTTCCTGCTACTCCATTGAGGGCAAAAGATTTTTCCTTCTCTCCCTTCTCCAGGATCTTTGGCTGCCTCCTGGGGTGGAACTATCTCACCTTCCTCAGAGAACTAAGGCTTTTTCTTCACATGATTGAAGGGCCCAGACAAGTGTGCAGCGTGTTGTTCATTCCCCAGAGGCAGCCAATCAACCCATGTGTGCCTGTATCTCCATCAGAGTCTGGTTTCTCACCTGCTCCCAATATTTTTTTGCATGATGACATGACTATCGTAAGACATTTTCACTACCAAAAATAATAGTAATGAATTGTTAATATTGTACATAATGAACTTTAAAAAATTACAAACATAGCCATCCTGAGTGGCAGTCGCATTGGGCGGATATTTGAGTGCTGATGGGTAAACATGACTACAATCAGTAAACATAAACTAAAACATAACTGGAATCAGTAAACAAACTAAAACCTAACTGGTAGCAAAAGTAACAAATTGGTCCTGATTCTGTTGAAGTTGTCAACACCCTCTAGCGGAAATATGTTTTTTTTTAAAAGCAAGTTTTTAAATGCAGAGACCTTTCTCACACATTTTTCCAGTCATTGAAATTTGGCAGTTACAGAAACTAACATTTGGAGGCAGTAAAAAAACAGTGTAGTGTTTCATTTTATTATAGTAAATAAATGTAAATCATTTAATACAGTTTGTTGCCTCATTCAGAAAACCAACCCAAAATGAAGCAAAAACGAAAGGAAATCTAGAAAGAACAGGAACCACAGGAGAACAGAAACTACTGATTCAATGTTTCTGCTTTGTCTGGTGAAAATAAAATCTCTATGAGGGTTTCTGCATTTAAATTTAATTAATGAAAAGTCAGATGATCTCCATTCTCAATAAATTGAGAACATGCACATGTTTGAAGAGTAATATTCTGAATGTATGCCGAACTTATAGCCAGTGCAGGGTACCTAATGCTCATAAGGATGCCCACTTGTTTTACTCTGCTTCTAAAGCCAAAAGGGAATTAACCAGAAACCCTCCTCAATATTTCACAAAACCTCCCTCTTTTCAGTAATAACAATTGTATCATAAATCTCACTCTAACGTCTGAAATTTTAAAATTAGTAAGATCATATTACTGCGTCTCTTAAACTGTGAAATTATTTAAGAATTAAAGTTAATTCAATGTCTTCTCTTCTAACTTTTTACTTTGGTTGATTTAATAGTACTGTAATTTCATCAGTATAATAGCCCAGTTCATTTAATAATCAATTTATGATTCTCTTTCTTTTCCTAGAATGTTTCTTATCTAACTGGCAGCAATAGCTGTAGGACTATGGTGTTTCAGCTGCTTATTTTAGCAAAAAGCAAAGTTCCCCTTCACATAGTCTTTTGAAAGAAAAGACATCTGTCTGAATATAAATATATGTAACTAAAAGCCATTAAATTGTAAGTATTTAAGTTCCTCTTCTTCAGCTGCTGAGGAGGAACATCGTCTATATGTTCATTGGCAATGAACTTTGTTTCTTGGTAGGGTGAAGCCTGGAGATGAAGAATCAGAGAAGCCAGGGGACAAAGCAGCATGAGTGATCAGAAAAGCAAGGGAAATGTAGAGGACAGCAGTATTCTCAAACTTTCAGGTCCATCAGGTCCACTTGGTAATCTAAGGGAATCATAATTGATTACAAAATGAATGTTAAAACACGTATTACTTGGCTCCCTCTGCTATCAGATTTGTTTTCCGGTAGGTCTAAGGCAAGACTTGATTATTTGCACTTCTAACAGGTTCCCAGGTGATACTAATGCTGTGGTACTTTAGGAACCACTGTTATAAAAAAATATTTAGGAAGTTTTGCTTTGGGTTGTATGGTATATCTTTCTAAATGACCAAGTGTATTAGTCCTTTTTCACACTGCTATAAAGAACTGCTGAAGACTGGGTAATTTATAAAGGAAAGAGGTTTAACTGACTCACAGTTCAGCATGGCTGGGGAGGCCTAGGAAACTTACAATCATGGCGGAAGGCGAAGGGGAAGCAAGGCACCTTCTTTACAAGATGGCAGGAAGGAGAATGAATGCAGGAGGAACTATCAAACACTTACAATACCATCAGATGAGAACGCACTCAGTATCATGACAACAGCACCGGGGAAACTGCCCCAAGGATTCAATTACCTCCATCTGGTCTCTCTGTTGACACATGGGGATCATGGAGATTATGGGGATTATAATTCAAGGTGAGATTTTGGGTGGGGACATAGCCAAACCATATCACCAACCATTCTCTTTGTCTGATACTACAGAATTTACCTGGCCTGAGACTTTCAAGGGTAAAACTGGAAAGTCTGCCACAAACCAGAAAGATTTGTTCTATGAAAGTTATCAGAATCAAAATGGGGCCACTTGCATAAAAACCCTGAAAAATGGAGCTAAGGAAGACCAGAAAGGGAGGGTTTATATGCGTGTATGCCTGACAACAGGAACTACGACAAAAGACTGCACAAACCACAACTTTGCACAAAGGCCACCACAATCTCACAAAAAATTACTTCTGTGAGGACATTTGCCCAGCAACTGCCTGTCCAACCTCAAACTGGTGCCACCCTTTCTACCAGTCCTTGTAACCAAGGATAATTGTCTCAAAGCAATTTATGTAACCCTCTTCATTTTTCTTTTAAAATCCCTTGTCTTCTTTTACCTCCCTATGTTCATTGTATTCTAACTGTAATGCTCAATCCCAAATAAATATTATTGTTTTTTAGAAGGGTCTCTCCGTGTGTGTGTTACTTAGGTTTAACCAGTCCCCTATACAATGTCTTCAAGACATTTTCAGTAGAGCTAAAATACTTGCTAATGCTTTTGTACTAAAATGTGTGTGTTTTTTTTAATTGATTCATTAATTTTAAAATATAGATTTTAAATTGATATGTTAAGATTGACCTCAAGGGTATAGTTGCATTTTAGAGCTTATCATCTGTGATTTTTGGCCCAGGGTGCAGTACTCTGCTGTAGCTAGAACGAATTGTCACCTAGAAAGGAGTAAACCGTCACTCTGATTAGCAAGTGGCCAATGTTTTCATTCAGCAACAAGTGAAAAGGGGTGCAATAAGAGGCAGGGTGTTTCTTGGACTAATACTTCAAAGTTATTACAGTTACAGCCTTTGGGGAAATTCACTGTTCAGATATGGCTGTTTCAAACAGTTAAGTATATGCAATGTTATGCGAGTTCATCAAATTAGGAATGTCTTAATTGATCAAAGTAAGCTAGGTTATACAGGAGAAATAAAGTCAAAATCTTAATGGCTTATAAACAAAAAAGATTTATTTCTTGCTAAAACAACCTATCCTTAGAACCCCAACAGAAATTGCCCATTTTTCTGCCATAACTTACTTATCATAATTCAAGTAGCACAAATAAATAGTTGATGTGCAATGACAATGGGATTGCTCATCCTAATGACTCTTTTTCACAAACATCTATGGAAAATGGCAGTTGGAATTCTGAATGGAAAATGTAAGTTGAAATTAATGCTGATCTAGTTTTAAATGATAGGTCTAATAATATGTAATCTATTTCATTAAAACCCCAGAGGTAGCTATTTTAATAGGTCTTGATTTAGGAGCAGAGCTTTGGAAAGCATTTCAAGATTATCAAAGATGTTGTAATCTAAGAGTAGAAAAGTGACAACAGCTTCATCGATTTGCAGATAGTAAAAATAACTAACAAACGAGTGAAGTACTCTACAAAGAACTCTACTGGGCCCATGGAGCTTCTTAGCATTCTCAGGTAATATGTTTTACATCAATCGTTTCCAAATATGAAGATTATTATTCAGTGATTTGAGATGGCTCTCTACAATCTAGTTTTTCACAATGTTCCCCCAGCAGATTTTGATGTAATTAGTCTGTAACATGAACATTTTTTTAAAAGATGAAACTTGTATTTCAACTTGGTGTATGGAAACAGAGGAGAGTGGAATGTAAATGTAAAGTTATTGGGACTAGTGAAACATTCAGTTCAGTATACATTGTAGATTATTTTAACCTATAAGGCTATGAAGTTATTTTATTACTCTTGGTCTGATTTTCTAATTCCTACACTTGGTTCTGACACTAATTTTTTATGTAATTTTAGGTAAATCATTCATTTTTTTAAAACCAACTTCTTTTATAACATGAAGTCAAGTAGATTATTAATAAAGATCCCTACCCATTCTAGAACCCCATATTTCCTTGAAACTTTCCATTTTATGTAAAGGGATGTGTGCAGCATGTATAGGAGTCAAATGTTTAACATAAACTATTGGTGGCAATTGTTATGAAGAAAAATGGAGAGCATAAATGTCTAGTCTTGTTCTACTCCCTTTAAAAACGACCCACTATTTCTAGGGTGGGTCAGTAAGCTGCAGAGTATATATAACACGATTTAGCAGGTCAACAGGTCAGGAGCTAATTACTTGTAGATCACATCAACCTCTTGAAGACTGAATCATCTGGAGATGTGTTACAAGTGACTTAAACAGATAAGTACAGCATGGACTCAACAATAAAATGGGAGATAATGGTTAAAACAAAGCTAAGCATCACATCAGAGTAGGATCCTCACATGACTTTATTCCAGTAATGTAAATGTTCCCATCCCAGCCCTCATTCACCACTACTTCCTCTTATCATTGAGGAAACAGGCAGAGACAGAATGGAAAGGCAGTCAGCTTAATTTAAGAAACTTTCTTAAGTTTAGAAATACTGAATTAGTTTTAACCCAGAAAAAGAGCTCAATTGAGAACTCTGAGGTTTGCAACCTTAAATCCCGCCTAAATTCTGATATATTCCTGCCAAAGGCAACCTGATTGAGGTTACCTGAGAAATAGTTTTTCTACAAAACATGGCCAACCATGCTCAAGACAAAATTACAACACATAATTTATCTTCGGCATTCTTCAAATTATTTACCTCATCTCCTGCCCCCAGCACCTAATCCCAGAATACAGGAATTTGATGATGTCTACACAGCCTATAAAAGTCCACAAATTTAAGTGCCTACTGTGTGAAAGCCATTTTGGGGACTACAAACATAAAGGATGTATAATGCCACCCACTAAGATGTTCACGCTTATGATTTAGTAGGAAAAACAGAAGGCTGCCTTACAGATATTAACAACCAAATTTACAGGCACACCTAAAACATCCCGAATTCTAAAATATATATGTATTTTCCAAATCCTACAGGGTAATATGACTATGAAAGTGCACTAGGAATGTCAATTTAACTAAATCCTCTGAGAGCATCCACATTTTGAAAGAGTTCTCTTTTAACCTAAACAAACAAACGAACAAACACTCCTCTCACTGAAGTTCATTCGGCATTGACGGGTCTCTGGTTCTTCAAGTTTTCATCTAAAACTCTCAGTCTTTGCTATCACAACCAACGCACCCTTCCTACACTCCAAAGTTGATGGAATGAAATGTCTTGGAATTGAGGGTTTAATTAATTCGGATCACTGGAGAGAAATAACAGAAATAACGGGGGAAAAAATGTGTCCATTTTAGGGCTTGGAATTGGAAACGTGGGGAAACGTCGCCACCTTCTGGTAAGTGATGGAAGTGAGCAGGAAAAAAGATCCAAGCTAAGAAGCGGCTTTTTTTTTTTTTTTTTTTTTTTTTTTTTTCTAAGCAGCAAGCCACGCACCTCCCGCGCTGGCGAAATCCGAGACCCGCCCCTTCCGGAAGTTTTGACACTTTGTGCGCCCCGGGCAATGCGATTGAGAGGGTAATCATCCGGTCCGTTATCTAAACCCGTCACTCCGGGAAACAGCGACCCGATCTTTCCGGATCCGCGCTCTCCCAGCATCCTTTGCCTTCCGGTATGTGGCCCCGTCTGGCTAGTCCCGCCTAGCGCGCCCATTTCGAGCCCAAGTTTCCAGCTCGGGTTTCCAGGCTCAGAATTTTCCAGGAGTAGGTTCTTGGGCAGTGGCTGTGGGAGCTGGAATGGCGCAGCTGGAAGGTTACTATTTCTCGGCCGCCTTGAGCTGTACCTTTTTAGTATCCTGCCTCCTCTTCTCCGCCTTCAGCCGGGCGTTGCGAGAGCCCTACATGGACGAGATCTTCCACCTGCCTCAGGCGCAGCGCTACTGTGAGGGCCATTTCTCCCTTTCCCAGGTGGGGTCCCCAACCTGTCCCCACCCCAGGAGAGGCCTGAGAGGTCCCAGCGTCCCCACGTCCTCCCATCCTTAGACTTCACTCGTCCTGTTCCACCCCCTCAAGCCTCAGAACATGAAAGAAACTGGGTATAGTCTTTTGTTCCTGTCTCTGAGATCTGTGAAATATTTATTAAATGAATGAATAAACAGCAGATCTGTCCTCCAGGAAGGAGTGATCTGGGAGAATACTCAACGGGGAACTGAGCCCTCCTCTTGGCAGCTGACGATATCGATCCCACTTTGTCTTTCCTTGTTTTAGGATTAAAGGCATTCGGGTGCTCCTTGGAAATACCAGAAAACTTTCCTTTAGCTCACCTGTCAAGCACCTCACTGTGCATTTTAGGGGTGGGATAGGGTGGACTGGAGGGATCTTCAGCTACCAAAAAGTGACAATTTATAATCACAAATTCCTTCCCTGGGTATTTTTAGTGAACTGTTAACTGGATAAACTGGCAACCAGTCAAGTCACATCATTTTTGAGTATATATTTGACTGTGCAAGTATGTACATATAAATATCAAAATAAGCATCCCCTGCTTCTCTGGTGACACAATATAGGGTACTGGCTAGAAATATAAAGTCTGTTTTAGAGAAAGATCTGATCTTAAATCTTGGTGCTGTGATTTACTAGTTTTGTGATCTTGGAGATGTTCTGAGTTTCAGAAATTCAGGTTACTCATCTGCAAAATGACAATAATCTTTACTATAGGGCATATTGTAACGTTAATACAGAGGGTTTGGCAACAATTTCTGTCTCAGTTTATGTTAGCTGTCATCATGGAGCCTGTGGTCCAAATGTTTTCCTAAACTTAAGAGTCCCAAACAATGTTTCCATGCTTTTAAAAACTGGAACATTTGCAGTTTATTTATCAAAATAAAGGCTTTTAAAGAACATTTCTTGGAAAATAGAAATAGATTTTAAGTTGTTGTTGTTTATTGGTTGCTGCTACCTGAACCATCACTAAGCTGGTCCGGGGGCAAAAAATAAGAAAAACGAATCCTGTTCTGCCAAGGACTTACTTAATCTTGTCATAGAATAACTTCTCAAAATTTCTGATTGTTGCTGGAGATGAGACTTGGGCTTGACATATTTGTGCCTGTCTTGTTCCTATTACCTCTTGCTTTTACTTCATTTTCTTTCATTTTAAAGTGGGATCCCATGATTACTACATTACCTGGCTTGTACCTGGTGTCAATTGGAGTGATCAAACCTGCCATTTGGATCTTTGGATGGTCTGAACATGTTGTCTGCTCCATTGGGATGCTCAGATTTGTTAATCTTCTCTTCAGTGTTGGCAACTTCTATTTACTATATTTGCTTTTCTGCAAGGTACAACCCAGAAACAAGGTATGTTTCAAAATACTTAATTACAAGTTTATGTGTAGTCAGGTCCACAATTACAATGAATTAGTTTTATGAGATTTGGTGAAAAATGTCTTTAACACTTTGTAACTTTGTATTTTTGTATATTATGTAAAGGTAAATTTAAATCCTCCATCTCCATTTTAGAATAAATTCGTATTTAAATACTTGAATAACTTATTTGTAAAATCTGAAGTAAATATTTGTTAAGTGAGTCAAACCAGTTCAATAAATACTTACTGAACTTATTCCATGTGCTAGGGACTGGGACTACAGAGATAAATGAGGCAGTCTTTTTCTTGTAAAACGTATATATTCATTAGGGAAAACAGACTTTACCTGAGGACTTTTGATGTGATAACAGTGCAGGCCCTGGAGGTAGATTGCCTGGGTTAGAATTCTCTCCCTGCCACTTAACCAGTTTTGTTACCATGGACAGGTTAACCCTTAGTGGCTCCATGTCTTCATGTATTAAATAAGAATAACAATAGAATCTGCCTTATAGAACTGTTATAAAGGAACAAAGAAACTTAATAAATGGAAGATGCTTCGAACAGTGCCAGAGATATAGTAAGGGTTCAGTAAATATTAACTCTAATAATTATTTTTAACCTTAAGAGATGATTTCAGTAGTGTCAGTTATGATAGAGTGGTAAACATAAGATGCTATGAGGATACAGAGAAGGAGCAGGGGAACACTTACTGCTTTTCTGGGAGGGAGGGGAGTATGTGGCATTTGGTAAGTCCTCACAGAGAAGATGGTACCAGAGCTGAGTCTTGATGAACGGATAGGGCTGTGTAGGGTGGGGAATTAATCCTGGGGAGACAAACAACATAAGAAAAGGAAGAAAGGCATTGAACAACGAGTTGCAGGGAATTGGTCTTGGAATTACAGGATTAAAAAGTAGAGGGATGTAAGGCTAGAGAAGTAGGTCATGAATGCCCTTATGTGTCACAGAGAGGACTTTGAACTTTAGCATGTAATGTAAAGACCTTAATTTTAATCAAGGAAATGGCATGGTCTGATTTGGTGATTTAGATTAAGTGGAGTATACAATTCAAGAACATAAGAACACTTTCAAATTCTGAAACAGCATGTCAGAAAGGCCAAAAGAAGATATATAACTTTAGACAGGCTCACTTTTCAGAAAAATACCTGTTATTTCATCATGAAAATTTCATCTTGAAAAAGTAAGTCTGGGTATGGTAGTATACCATATGCATGTTTATATTCTCCCTTGTGTAGAGTTATGAAGGATTTCCTTAAAGGAAAGTGGTTCATTATGGCTAAGTGAATCCTTACTGAAGGCACTAAAACATAAGCTCAGGGAAATGGAGCCAGCACCGTGTCCTATTTATCTCCATAGTCCACATAGAACTTAGTTAGTATCTTGCACTCAATAACTCCTTAACTAATCATTGCCTGATTCCAATTGTGTTAAGCTATAGAAGATTTGGCATACACATGGTCTCCAAACTGATAGGTATACATAAAAAGTACCAGGAAGTGTTCTTATAAATGTATATTGTGTTTTTGCAAAGCCAGAGATAAGATTAATATTGATTAATTTTATTTAAAGAAGGTTTGAGTAGTTGAGTAGTTTTTAAATAAATTTCTTCATTAGGTAAGCAGAAATAGCATTTTTTGTCATGAAAATAATTTTATCTGTGTTTCTTCTTCCTCCAAGGCTGCCTCAAGTATCCAGAGAGTCTTGTCAACATTAACACTAGCAGTATTTCCAACACTTTATTTTTTTAACTTCCTTTATTATACAGAAGCAGGATCTATGTTTTTTACTCTTTTTGCGTATTTGATGTGTCTTTATGGAAATCATAAAACTTCAGCCTTCCTTGGATTTTGTGGCTTCATGTTTCGGCAAACAAATATCATCTGGGCTGTCTTCTGTGCAGGAAATGTCATTGCACAAAAGTTAACGGAGGCTTGGAAAACTGAGCTACAAAAGAAGGAAGACAGACTTCCACCTATTAAAGGACCATTTGCAGAATTCAGAAAAATTCTTCAGTTTCTTTTGGCTTATTCCATGTCCTTTAAAAACTTGAGTATGCTTTTGCTTCTGACTTGGCCCTACATCCTTCTGGGATTTCTGTTTTGTGCTTTTGTAGTAGTTAATGGTGGAATTGTTATTGGCGATCGGAGTAGTCATGAAGCCTGTCTTCATTTTCCTCAACTATTCTACTTTTTTTCATTTACTCTCTTTTTTTCCTTTCCTCATCTCCTGTCTCCTAGCAAAATTAAGACTTTTCTTTCCTTAGTTTGGAAACGTAGAATTCTGTTTTTTGTGGTTACCTTAGTCTCTGTGTTTTTAGTTTGGAAATTCACTTATGCTCATAAATACTTGCTAGCAGACAATAGACATTATACTTTCTATGTGTGGAAAAGAGTTTTTCAAAGATATGAAACTGTAAAATATTTGTTAGTTCCAGCCTATATATTTGCTGGTTGGAGTATAGCTGACTCATTGAAATCAAAGTCAATTTTTTGGAATTTAATGTTTTTCATATGCTTGTTCACTGTTATAGTTCCTCAGAAACTGCTGGAATTTCGTTACTTCATTTTACCTTATGTCATTTATAGGCTTAACATACCTCTGCCTCCCACATCCAGACTCATTTGTGAACTGAGCTGCTATGCAGTTGTTAATTTCATAACTTTTTTCATCTTTCTGAACAAGACTTTTCAGTGGCCAAATAGTCAGGACATTCAAAGGTTTATGTGGTAATATCAGTGATATTTCGAACTGTGAAAATGGACTTAATAATTAGACCATTTCTACAAAGAACAACTGAATAGGTGGAAAACATGGAATTTCTTTTAGGTGCAGTGGTGGTCTTCAAATTACATTAGTTTTTTTTATATATATTTTAAACATATGTAAGAAATTAAGTGGCAAAGAACTGAGAAAGCTTAAGACCTGCTTCAAAAGCCTGAAAAATGGAAAAATAAAATTGTTTTCAGATATCTCATATCACTCTCATAATGTTGGCCCCTTAAAAAGCTTGGGAATGTTTTGTATGTACAAGTTTATTAAAACTGGGTATGCTTCATATTACTGGAATGAATTTATTCTCTTCAGAGAGAAATATTAGGTTAGTGCAAAAGTAATTGTGGTTTTTGCCATTGAAAGTAATGGCAAAACCACAATTACTTTTTTACCAACCTAATAACAATGTATTAGCAAATATTTACAAATGGTCAGGTGATATTCTTGATTGAAAAGTTGCTTAACATTTCAGTAATATAATTTTAATTCTAAGTCAAAATACAAATGCATAGATAGTAAATGATAAAGTAGAGACTCATATATGCCTGTCTAGACATCAAATTGTTGGTTATTGTTTACAATCTAGAAATGATGAAGCTCTTTCACTAATTCCTAATATGAAATGTATGATGGCCAAAGACAAATTGTATTGATTATAATCCTTTAAAAGGGGGATTTCCTTTCTGAAATACATATTGTATTAGCTTCCCAGGGCTTCCATAACAAATGACGACAAACTTGGGTGCTTACAACAATTTTCCTCACAGTCTGGAGGCCAGAAGTCTAAAATCAAAGTGTCAGCAGAGTTGGTTCCTTCTGGAGGCTCTAAGGAAGAATCCATAAACAGACATTCTATGTCTGTTTCCTAATATCTTGTGGCTGTGTGCAATTCTTGGAGTTCTTTGGCTTCTGGACAAATCTTGTCCAAGTATTGCAGACAGCAATCTTCACTCCAGTCTCTGCCTCTGTGTTCACACGGCCTTTCCCTCTGTCTTCTCTTCATTACCTTTTAAGGACAGTGTCTTTGAATGTAGGGCCCACCCTGATCTAGGGTGATTGTGTCTGGAGACCCTTAATTATGTTTACAAAGACCCATGTTCCAAGTAAGTTTGTATTCACATGATCTGAGTAGACATTGTCTCTTCGTGGGATACTTTTCAGTCCATGACAGTTACTAAAGGACATTTTAGGATAGTCTTCATATGATTGTTAGGAGACTACCTTTTTAGATTTTTTTTATTATATATCAAATTATAGTTGTATATACTTATGAGAAACAAAGTGGCATTATGATTTTTGAATATAATGTGGGATTAAATAAAGCTAATCTATCCATCACCTCAAATATTTGACATATTTTGTGATGAAAACATTTGAAATTTACTCTCAGCAGTATTGAAATGTACAGTGCTTAATTATTAGCTGTATTCACCATGTTGTGTAATAGATCTAAAAAAAGTCAAACATGCTCCTTCTATCTAATTGAGGCTTTGTATCTTTTGATTATCATCTCCCCATTCCCACATCCCCGGCCTCTAGCAACCATCATTCTTCTCTCTACTTCTGTGAGTTTAATTGTTTTAGATTACACAAATAAGTGAGATCATGTGGTATTTGTCTTTCTGTGCTTGGCTTATTTCACTTACCATAATGTCCTCCAGGTTCATCCATATTGTTGCAAATGACACAATTTCTACCTTTTTAAAGGCCAAATAGTATTTTATTGTGTATATATGCCACATTTTCTTTATCCATGCATCCATTGATGGACATTTAGGTTGATTGAATAACTTGATAATTGTGACTTGTCTGCAGTGAACGTGGAGTGCAGACTTCTCTTTGACATACGGATTTCAAGTCTTCTGGATAAATGCCCAGAAGTGGGATTGTTGGATCAGGAGATAATATCTTAGCCGATACCTTTTAAATAACTCTCAGTATCTTTACTGAGAGGTTAAAAAGTAAGTGACTTCTGAGGTAATATAAAGCTAAAGGTGACTAGTGTTTGATTCCATTATCTATTTAAAAAAATGTCAGAATTGAAAGTTAAGAAATCATTTGGTCTGACCTTATTTTGTAGATTAGGGAACAACTGCTGGGGTAGGATTATTTTGTGTTACTTTTTGAATTTTGTGTTTATTATTTTGAGTGTATTTTTTGGGTTGTCATTCCATTATAGGAAAGTATTATTTGGGCATGTTAAATTTGACATGTAAACTTAGAATTATGAATAGAACACTTCTTTTAACATAATTTTATGTTTCCAAACTTTAAAAGTAGCTATAAGTGAACAAATTACTTTCCCCTCAATGTCAAATTTTGTTTCTCTGAGTTTTAAGTAATGATTCTACATTTACAAATATAAAATTGTGTGTAGGTGAAAATCACAAGTATAATTTGAATGATAAATACAGACCGTTTTTTGGTTGTACTCTAGTACTCAGAAAATAGAGTTGCATTAGTTATAACAGTGATTGTAGAAAAACGTGTTTTACCCAGACTTTTTAAAAATTAGACGAGAGAGGACACTCAGAGAAATTATACTTTTGTCATTAATTTACTATAATAGAGAACTAAATCCGAGAAGTCAAAATTGAAAAAAGAATGTATAATTTAGGGAAAATAACTTTTTGTCTGATAATATTAATGCAAGGATTTTGTATTTAGGAATACTTCTGAGAGGAGAAGCTTCCACTCTGATCTAGTCTGGCAAAATTGAGGAAAATATTCTACCCTGTAATTAAAGAAGACTGCTCTTTGGAGGGATCACTGTTCTAGATTTTTTTTTTTTTTTTTTTTTTTTTTTTTGAGGAGAAGTCTCACTCTTGTCCCCCAGGCTGGAGTGCAATGGCTTGATCTCGGCTCACTGAAACCTCCACCTCCCGGGTTCAAGCAATTCTCCTGCCTCAGCCTCCCGAGTAGCTGGGATTATAGGCACCTGCCACCACGCCCGGCTAATTTTTCCTATTTTTAGTAGAGACGGGATTTCACCATGTTGGCTAGGCTGGTCTCGAACTCCTGACCTCAGGTAGTACACCCGTCTCGGCCTCCCAAAGTGCTGGGATTACAGGCGTGAGCCACTGTGCCCAGCTCTTCTAGTTCATTTTTAAGTGTTGAGTCCCTGCTGTTTTAAGAGATGTTTTGGTGAAAATCTACATTCAGAGAGAAACAGATTAATCTTCCACATTTTTAATAAAATACATATAGTACTTGGGATTTTAAGAAAAGAATGCCATGTATTAAAAGGTGCTATTTTCAACTGTTTATTATTTTAAAACAGGAATGCTTATCAATACTTTTGAATTTAAGATAAATGTCTTGGTTAAATTTTCTAGGCAGTTCAAAGATGGCCATTTGCTGGTGAATTTTCCAAAATAGGTAACAGATAAAATGATTATGTAAGAACTTGGCACAACATATCCTTTTGCCTTTAGTTGTTCAAGAAATGATACCAAACTCAAAGTCATTCACTTGAAACAACTGAGAAGACCATTCTTAGGTGTTTAGATCCTTGCTTTTAGAAATATTCTTAGTTATATTTGTGTTTTTAAGAGTTATTGAGTGGATTTTTTTTCATGAATTTTTAAACATTAGACTTAGCTGAATTGATTAAAATAAGGTGATTATGAAAAAAAATGTTGCCCTGCTTGAGGGCATATGGAGCCCTACAGTTACCGTTACTAAAGTCTGTGAGTATGTCTGTTTTGAAAAGTGTCATAAAAAGATCTAGTCCATAAATCGTTATAGGTTCAGTAATACATCATTTTGAACTGATTCTATCTTCTGTGAAATTCTAGAGATATGTTATCTTTAGGTAAATTAGTAAGATTTCAGGTATGCTGTGAATTTTGTTACGTTTATGTTTTCCATTAATGGATAGTCAGAAATCTTTTGAACTGCGTCTGACTATATTTAAATGATTTGGAAAGATAGTATCTCTCAGTTTAAACATAGCATCTCATTTTGGCAAGATACATTATTTTAGCTGTCTGGACTTTTCTTTGCCTTCTTAGAGTTATTTCTGAAATGTGCATAGCCAGTCATAAAATACTTTGTATAAATAGCCTAGTGTAATTTATTTCTAATAAATACACAGCTTAATGAAATGCATTTCTAGTTTGAACTTAATTGCCACTTGGCTTGATATTATTTTCCTTAGAATTGTTGGAATAGAGGAGAGAGGAAGGGATCTACCATTTTTATTTATACCACCTAAATAGTGGACTGTTATTTTGGACTCACTTTTAAATAAAATATTTATTCATATGAAGAAATACATTTTGTGTTTATTAGGTTAGCAAGCATTTATTATCTTTGAAATAATTGGAATTTCATTAAAAAGTGAAGCAAGTAAGAATTGTGATGTAAATTTGAAAATTTTTAAATGGAAATTTAAATATGACTTAGGAACCATGGGCTTGTAGAAAAAAACAGTTAACATGGGGGTTAAGATTTTTATATTTGGTTGTGGCTCTGGGATCAATAAGGCAAGTGGTTTAGTCTTCAGTCCTCATTTCAGATGAGAATAGTATTTGTCCAAACTCTAGTCAGTGTCTGATTGGTATGTGTATAACCTTATTTTAAAAAGGATTCATCCCTGCCATATACTCATAATATTTATGTCATATGATAAATATTGAGTAAATATATACTGAATGAAGTTTTTAGTATAGAGTGAAGTGAATAGAAAAAATATCCATATAACCGTGGCTAATTTTAGGAAGTAAATCGTGTTTCATAATAAGAGTCATCCTAAACATTTTTGTGCATAATTTTCTGACCCAGGGTTAAAAATTTTTATTTGCTTTAGTGAAAGTTTTTTCAACTCACAGGCCGCATGTAGCCCAGGATGGCTTTGAATGCGGCCCCCAACACAAATTTGTAAACTTTCCTAAAACATGATGAGATTTGTTATGATTTTTTTTTTTTTTTTTGATCATCAGCTATCATTAGTGTTCGTGTATTTTATGTGTGGCCCCAGACAGTTCTTCTTCCAATATGGCCCAGGGAAGCCAAAAGATTGGAGACCCCTGCTAGCATTTAATGCTTATACACGTATTTACTTGTAAATATGTTGTTTCTTTGATAGGATATGATTTCAACATAATTACGGTTTATTTAAAATAAGAAAAATAAATAACTTTCAACCATTAAGAGGTTATAAGACTTTAAAGGGAAAGTTTAATAGGGTATAATTTCAAAATAATTGCTTTTTATTTAAAATAAGAAAAATCATTAAACTTCAACCAATAACAGGTTAAAGAATTTAAAGGTAAAAGACATTTCAACTAATTACAAATACTTTGTTTTTTTTTAGTTGGGCTACATTTTACCACTCTAGGAATAGCTGTTAATTATTTTTTATATAGGGTATTTTTATGTATTTAATGTTGACAACTGACGTTTCCAATATGCAAAAACTTGCGTAACTGAGAAAATTATAATAAAAATAGAGATTGAGAATATATTTTTAACATATATCCATGAGTCAAAACTAATATTTAATATTTGGGATTTGAAAAATTATTTCTGGGGTAAGAAATTTTGTCACAATATAATATCTGTATATTGTGCTTTTTTTAAGAGAGAAGTTTTTGATGAATTGAATGTTAATTAAATTTTATCTCAGCATATCACCATCAGACCAAAAGATACAGTATTTTTCTAACAAGGAAAAGAAAATACATACATATATGTATTTATATATACAAATTTGTATATATGTAATGTATGTGTGTGTGTATACATATTAATTTCCTCTTTTTTTTTTTTTGTAAGAATTGAGACAGGGTGTCAGTATGTTGCGTGGGCTGGTCTTGAACACCTGCCTCAAGTGATCCTCCCACCTTGGCCTACCAAAGTGCTGGGATTTACCATGAACCACTGTGCCAGCTTCCAACGAGAAAATTATTAAATGTGTTGGTTTTTCACAGTGAAACTTAATTCAGTTTAGTTGAACCATATATGTGTGTGTACGGCATATACAAGATGAAAAAGAAAGGGAGGAAAAATAATAATGATGGTTGCCATCATTCATTGAACACCTGTAATGTTTTAGGCATTATACTAGCTGATTTACAAATATTGTCTCATTTGATGCTACATTTATATTTCTGTGAGGTAGATGTTGATTTCTATTTGACTGCTGAAGAAACTGAAGGTCAGGCAGGTCAGGTGATTTGCCCAAAGTCCGCACTGTCACTAAATGAACATAGATTGGTATGACTCCCAAGCCTGTGAGTTTTTGACCATCATATTCTGCCTCACTATGAAAAGTTTATTTAAATTAATTTTTTTTTAATCAAAAGAAGTAGTATATGGAGAGAGAGGTGAAAATCCATGTTTGCTCTCTGCAGTTTCCAGACCATTCATGGCATGTTATTTTTGTACTGGATATAGTCATTTTTTAAAATGCTACAAACTGTTCAAAAGAGCATGAACAACATGATAACTCCTTATAATTTTGTTGTAAGACAAATGGCTAAAAGTATGTGGGATGTTTAATTTGGATAAGTGGAAATTCTATCACTTGATAAGCTCTCTTGAAGAATAATTATTTGAAAGATTGGACTTAATTCTGTATTGCCTGAAGTGTAAATCAGAAGTCAACAATTAGATTGCAAATTATGAAAAGCATAACTTTTCTAATTGTTTAGTCTTTTTAGAGAAACAAGCCCAGGAAAAAAGTAAGATTCTCATTCATTGGAGATAAGATTTCTATTTATCAAAGATACTTCAGAAGAGTTAGATAGCAAGTAGGTAAAATGTCTTTTAAAGGTATCTGACATCTTTAAAGCTCTGTGATTTTTAAATTCTTAATTTTGTTACAGCTAATTTTTTAAAAATTAATTGCTGAGTCATGGTCAAGTATTTCTGATGACTTACATGCTGTCTTTGATACATTTTAAGTTTCTAAACCAAAACTACTATTTAATTCTGTTACCCTGTTTTAGAAAAACATTTGAGTTATACAACTTACTAAAAGGTATTTTAGCGATGATGTTTTGGAGCACTAGTAATATAGTGTTTAACTTATTTTCTATTTTTTATCCCTCTATATTAGTGAAATTACTTCTCTTTGAAGTTTTCCCCCAGTGATAAAAAAAGGCTGAGCAGTATCTGTAAAAATTTTTAAGGTGGTGTCCACTAGGTGGAGATATTGTGCTACATTTCCAAGTGTTGTAATTAAACTTTTATTAGTCTGAATTAAACTCTTTTATTTTTTATAATCATTTATATCTATTTATCATAATGTTATTCAAATGTTTCCTGAGTTGTATGAAGCTAAGATACAGGTAAAAACAAAACAAAACAAAAACCTCACTTTGTGTTTTGTAATCATTAGACAATTTAACCTAATATATCTTCCCATATGATATGATCTTTTCATATGGCATACTTCATTCATATGACATAGTTAGAATCTTTTCCCACAAACAATGAGTGATGATATCTCATTTGAAAACTCGTGTAACATTGTATCAGCCACTGTTATAAAGTGATTTACCCATGTTAGTCTCATAACAACTCTATGAGATCAGTACCGTACACATGGGGAAACTTAGTATAGAGAGGTGAAGTATTTTTTCCAAGATTACAAAATAGCTGTCTGAGCTGGGATTCATAACCAGGCAGCCTGACTCCAAAATCAATATTCTTAACTCTATTGATATGATGGAGAAAGGCATGAAGTCTATCTTCAAATTCATGGCATTTTAGAAGGAAAAATTGTCACAGATAATGTGATTATACTTCCTAGTTTTATAGGTCAGAAAAATGAAGTCCACACTAATTTTGCCTCTTCCACAAGGAGATAGATTCTCATCTACCATTGTGTCTTTTGTTTCTGTTTTTGTCATCATACCTCAAATTGATATATGTTGTAAATATGAATTTAAGGAAGTAAAAAAAATAACTCAGGGCTGGAGCCTTCAGCCATATTAATATACATTGACATAAAGACCTTTGTTTTAATATGAATGATTCCAGTTACCAAATGGAGAAATAGTTGTTTGAAAATTAATATTTAGCTTCTCAAAAGAGACTCCTATTTGGAAGCAAATTGTTGGTTAAACAGGACATACTTTAGATTTTTGAAAAATTCTCTGTGGAATAACAATCTCTTATTTTTAAGAATGTATGAATATGTGTTCTATATGCTTTTAAGTTATGTATTACATACTGTTCTCTAAAATGGAAATGTTTATTTGGCTTCTAAAAGTCATTTGTGAGTTCATGTTATTTAAAACTGCTTTTCAGTCAACTTATTCTTTATAAAAAAAGTTTGTTCAAATAGCATGTTTTTATTTCATTTCTAAATAAATTCATGTTTGATAATATTTTATAATGTATTATATCTAACACATTTTCTTATCCTAAGCCAAGTATTAGAAGCTTTGTATTTCCCTCACACTGTCCAGTTAGCCATTTTCCCCTGTCTACCACCTACCTAATCCTAAGCTTTATTAGTCATTTTAAAATAGAACCAAATCTTTTTAAACACCTGTGATGTGTGCTCATAACTAGCCTGGGTGTCTGTATAATCTTCCTTTTATTCTCATAATAATAGAAAGCAGTTAAATTACTGGCTGATCACCTTGAACTTGTGGGGGCTTGGGTTTCTTTTTTAGGCTAGGTCTGTAGGAAGCTCAGAGTATTTACCAAACACATCTAAACTTGGCAGGGTTCAAGCCCCAGTCTTTGGGTCTTGTGGTGAAAAAAAGAAAGTGGTCCCTACTCTGTGTTTGCAGACTTCCAGCTCTTACTTTCCATTGGGTGTCTTCGAGTTTCTCCCATCATATGCAGCTCAGAGGTCAGCCCAGGACTTATACACAGATTTTGGGATTCCCTTCTTCTGTGACTCCCTCTTTTCTGAGATTTCTCCTAATTCACAGCTACTCTAGCAGTCCTGAATTCCGCCCTTTCACACCTCAAACCAATCATATTGTACCTTTCTAACTAGGGTGTGCCCTCTGAGGGAAAAGTCATATAAACATGGATCGCACCCAGTGAGATCTTTCAACTGAGTCCATCCAGTTCCTGCCTTCTTTTGTCTACTCTTCAATGTTTCCAAAAAGATTTTTTTCCCCTTTTAAATGAGTCAATCTAGAGGAAAGCTAATATAATAAAAGCTCCTCTGCCATGACCTGCCTAGGAACCTTGTCTTGATTGTAGTTAACATGTGTTATGTGTAGTCTGTTTATTAGATAAGGAAGTTGTGGGTATTACTTTTGGTTTTGAGAAACTAAAACGGAGAGTTCCTGAAAATAGTTTAGGTGGCAAGAGTAAGTTTTTGGAATATGGACTTCTGTATTAGCCCATTCTCATGCTGCCAATAAAGACATACCCGAGACTGGGTAATTTATAAAGGAAAGAGGTTTAATGGACTCATAGTTCCACATGGCTGGGGAGGCCTCACAATCATGGTGGAAGGTGAAGGAGGAGCAAAGTCACATTTTACATGGTGGCAGGTAAAGAGAATGCTTACGCAGGACAACTCCCATTTATAAAACAATTGGCTCTTGTGAGACTTACTACCAGGAGAACGGTATGGGAAAGACCCACCCCCATGATTCAGTTACCTCCCACTGGGTCCCTTCCACGACACCTGGGAATTATGGGAGCTAAAATTCAAGATGAGATTTGGTTGGGGACACAGCCAAACCATATCAACTTCTAATATGGTACTCTAACAAAGTCTGTCATAGTATTTGTTATTAAATGCAATGACAACTTGAGGGAACCTTGTGTGAAAAACATGGTATCAAGAAACACAAAAGTGACCTACTCCAGACAAGATGAACTCACCTAATGGGGGCTAACTAATGCAAAGTACAACATGATTGATTATCACTGAGGAAGAATATAAGAGCTAGGGTGTTTACTTGAGAATAGAAATCACATCTGGCAGAAGGGACAAAGACATACTTCATGGAGAAATTCACATTGGAGATTATTTGTATGGAAACCTGTGGAGACATTGCAGAAAGCATTTCATACAGAATAATGTGATGCAAACAAATTACACAGTAAACTAAACTACCATATGGCTGAGAAGCAGGTGGTGACAGTGGCCAACACTTATGAAGTGCTATGTGACAGGCACCAGTCTAAATTTTGAACATGAATTTATTTAAGCCTCATAGAGATGCCCTAAGGCAAATGCTATTATGATCCCCATTTTTACTGACAAGGAAAATAAGACATAGGGAATTGAAACAGTTTACAAACAGGAAATGTGGCTCCAGAACATGCCCTCTTAACCAGGGCGCTATACTGATTCCTGCTAAACTTGCATCATCTGATGGCCTGTGCATCCAAAGAACTGAGGTTATTTTTAGGAAGAAAGAACAGTGCTCTGCTGTATACAGTGAGGAGCAAGGAAAGCACGTCCCACACACAGACCCACAGATAAATGGGTGTGGAGAGAAAAATAGTTATTTAGAGATGATAGCCAGGTTTCAGTTAAAACTAGAAGAATGGCTCTGTGAGACAGGCCCTCCACTCTCCTGTAGATCCTGTTGTAAGTGATGCAGAAGCCAGAGAGAAGGTTGCTCTCCATCGGAAACATGAGGAGTTTCGGAGACCTCCCTAAAATATTTGGCCTGAAAGGGTTTGAAGCCAGGAGGAGAGATGCAGTCTTAGGAGAAACGTTTCATGAGCTGTAGCAGGTACCCTATCAGTCTTTCTCAGTAAGTACTGTTCTATGTAATTTTTATATTTTCCTTGCAACGCTATCACTCTCTAAAGGTCTAGTGAAGAAATCAAATTTAGATGAAGAAACCTAGCTTGACCTAGAATCTTCACTGTGTGTGTGTGTGTGTGTGTGTGTGTGTGTGTCCGTGTGTGTGTAATGTATACATTGGGTCTTTGGGCCAAATACACTGTAAGGTTTCAGAGGTATAAACAGGCCCTGGGCTTTGGAGAACCATGGGAGGGGATGATCTTGATCTAAGTCAGTAGTTTTTACTTAGCCACATCTAGAAATCTATGTCTTGGTCATAAATTTTGTTCTTTGAAATGCAGGGAAATGTATCATAAAATGCAGGAAATGCAAGGAAAAGTAACACATTAAAGCTAATTGGTTATTAATATTTTAAGAGCATATGAGAATGTCATATTCTATTCCCTCCAGCTCTCCAACCATATCCCCGACACATACCCACACACTGCCTGCCCGCACGTAAGCACAAGTATTTCTGGGGATCATGAGCATGAGAACTTTAGGGGTATTGCTAGGAAAAGAAGGAAGAGAGTAAGTAGGAAGACTGAAGACAGAGAAAGGAACCACCAGAAAGAGTAGAAAAAAAGAGAGGAATCCTTTCTTCACATACCAGTGACTCTAAGAATACCTTTCTCCATTAAAATAATATCTCATCCAGGAGGCACGTTCAAATGAAATACACGTGGAATACTGATATGAAAAGACAGAAGAATATAATAGGATCTGAGTTGAAAGACCGTGCTTATCTCTTCACTTGTACTATAATAATTTACAGTGATGTTCTTTAGTTGGGGTAACTGTGATGGGCAACGCTGAAACCCTTTATGCCAATTTTGTTTTCAAAATGCATTGTCTTAAATTTTCCCTCAAGGTGGCACTCTTGGACAGCTTTTCCAGTTATTAGTCTGACAGGAACTTGGTACCATTTTACTTACCTTCATAATGTCACAGATGCTAGTGATTTTTTCATTTTTTTAAATGCATTCTTTGAACATTTTTAGCTTTAAGCAAATATATTTGCTTATTTTTGTCATTGAGCATTTTGAAAACATGTGGTTAGAAGCTTGAAGCAGATAATCATAGCTGCATTCTATTCCCCATAATTAAGAATACGTAAGGCCTGGCACAGTGGCTCACGCCTGTAATCCCAGCACTTTGGGAGGCCGAGGCGGGTGGATCACCTGAGATCAGGAGTTCGAGATCAGCCTGATCAACATGGAGAAACCCTGTCTCTACTAAAAATATAAAATTAGCCGGGCGTGGTGGTGCATGCCTGTAATCCCAACTACTCTGGAGGCTGAGACAGGAGAATCGCTTGAACCCGGGAGGCGGAGGTTGCGGTGAGCTGAGATCGTGCCATTGCACTCCAGCCTGGGCAACAGAGCGACTCCATCTCAAAAAAAAAAAAAGTATTTAGGGCCGGGCGCGGTGGCTCACACCTGTAATCCCAGCACTTTGGGAGGCCGAGGCGGGCGATCACGAGGTCAGGAGATTGAGACCATCCTGGCTAACACTGTGAAACCTCCTCTCTACTAAAAATACAAAAAAATCAGCCGGGGGTGGTGGCGGGCGCCTGTAGTCCCAACTACTCGGGAGACTGAGGCAGGAGAATGGCGGGACCCCGGGAGGCGGAGCTTGCAGTGAGCGGAGATCGCACCACTGCACTTCAGCCTGGGTGACAGAGCGAGACTCCGTCTCAAAAAAAAAAAGAATATGTAGAAACCTTGATATTTTCTCTTTCTTTCCAATTGGAATACCAGTCAAACCTGGAATTTATAAATAGTTTTAATAAATGTGGAATTTGTTTTATATATATATAGTAATATATAGAGAGTAATAAAAATATAGTAATGTATATATAGTAATAAAAGGCTTCCAAAAGCTTCTCTATGGGAAATTCTTGTTTCCCTTAATCAGGCCATTAGAAAAGCAGCCTGCCATTCTCTGATAGCTGTGCTATAGAGCAGGTTACTTGATAAGGAATGAAAGCAGTGATTCTATTTGTTATGTAATGTGAGTGACATGGAAGGTAAATTTTTTAAAATAGTCATGGATTTTAGCTTTCTGAAAGGAATGCAATTTGGAAGTTTCTCCAAATCTCCAAATGGTTTTGAGTTACATATAATGCAACCTGACACCTAGCTTGATGTTTGAATTCTGTGTAGCTAGAATGTTGATAGACTGGATCTTTTCTGTTTTGTAATGTTTGGTATTATACTGGACCTTTCCTTGTGTTAATTTTTTCTCTTTATTAACATATGAAAAATTCTGTGAACTATTGATCATCCAATGAGATTTTCTCCGTTTCAAAAGACAAATAATGCAATTTGGAAGACTGTAAATTTGTTTGCATGTAATCTGAATCTCTAGATATACTCTAATTTTTTTTCAGTAAATTCTGAGTTAAATGTTTATCATTACAATGTCAGAGGATTAACTTAATTTTTCTATCTTCCAAATCCAGTTTTCCTTCATCAAGAACAAATTTTCATCGAATTGAAATAATGGTGTAGTTTTTGGAAGAAAACTAGCTTATTATGAGAAATAATTAGCAGGCATCTAAGAAAAAAATTTTAATTGAATTTGGCTTCATATTTTTTAAGGGCTTTGTAATTTGGGCTTAATATTTGATAAGGGTAAATTAACCAAGATCAAAACCTTTAAAATATTCGAATTGATAACTATTTTGTAATTATTGAAATAACTTTTCTCTAATAAGTAAAGGAGAAATACATTGAACAAAATAACCAGCCAACTTTCTGCTACACACTAAATTTTGATAGACTGTCCTTGTCTAAAATAGTTATTCAGCTATAAATACAGAACACTTGAGCTAGAGTCAGAATACCTGGATTCAAGTCCTGGTTCTGCCATTAGCATGCTGTGTGAACCTAGGAAGGTGAACTTAGGAAGGTGAACCTATTAGATCAAATGAGAAAGGAAAATACATACAAAAAGTATTAAATGGCTGTTAATTGCACACAGTGTAAGGTTTATGCATAATTTATTTAATATGACTGAGGCAATACAACAAATAGTTTTATTAACTTTTATCATAATTTTTGTATGATGTTAAATAGTGTTAGATAATTGAATCGTTCATTGTTGCTATTTTCAGGAATGTTTTAAAATGGCTTTTTACATCATTTAAAATGTCAGTTCCTTCTTTAACTTAAAAAGACACAGATTTTGGTCACTTTTTTGTATACTTGCTAATTATTACAGTTAATGACCTTGTCTTCCCAAAACAGAGATGTTCTAAAATGTTCTAAATGTTCCATTTGATGTTCTAAAATAAATGTTACATTTGGTACATTATTTAGAATTACATTAGTTGGGCATTTTACCGATGCAAGGAAGAAATACGGAAAGTCATTGAGAGTAGAGAAACATGAGTTAGGAGAGGATATTTTGCTTCCATCTACATAGTCTCTCCCTGGTGGGCCCTAGAACTTTTAGCATTGGAATGTATAGCAAAGCCTCATCAAGAAGTGAGACTTGAGATAAAACTTGAGTTCAAAATATCTACCCTCTTTTTCATCTTCTGTCTCCTTCCCCACACTCAAACCCACAGAGATTCTATTTGGTCTACTCTGGTTCCCACTCACAACACACACAATAGGCTTCCATCTGAGCCATAGTAGGACTCACTCAATATAACCCATGAATATTTTCCTTTGACTCAGATGCCAATTGATGGTCCTTAGTTATGGCCAGCATAGCAGAATAGGTTACATTAAAAATGTAATTCTCATGTTGCTTCAGCTTTATTTAGAAACAATTCTAGCTGCTCTCATGATAAGGAGGTATGAACAAGAACAATATCCATTGATACAGCCAATATAGCAATATGCCATTTTTATAACAACCAGAAACATTTTAATGTAATAAATACAAGTATATATGTGTGGTTTTATTTTCCCTATTTTTTCTCATGGCTCCCATAAAAATATAATAACTGGACCAATCAATGGTTATTTGCCAAGTACCCGAAGCTCTTCATTTGCAGTTTGCTGTAGCAGTATGCATAATTTAATATGCAATGAAAAGATAAGATATAAAAGGATATATAATGTCAGGAAGCTTTTCATGACATTGCTCTCCTCCTCATAACTGAATATGTTTTTCTGTACTTACAGCCATCATCACACCATTCAAGTTGCTAACTTACTTATCTGTATTTCTTACTAGACTATAAGCTTCATGAATCCAAAGACTGTGTCTGTCACATTCACAAATAGACAGCATATAAACATAGCAAATGTTCAAGAAAGAGCTTTTGACTGACTTAATGAATATGAATAACTAGATGCCCAAGGAGACCAAACTAGAATAATTTTATATTATTTAAATACAAAACTCTGGTTAAATTTAAGTCTACTAAATTTTAGTCTAGCAACACTGTATGGAGTACTTATTTTCTATTCTTTTATCTGAGATGCAACTACCTTAATGTTCAAAGGCCAATATATTTTTCCACTAGAATGCCTTCCTAAAAGAAAAATAGCAGGGAGGCTATGGATTAGAAGAGAGTCAAGATTTAGATTAACCAATCAATGTGTAGACTTTCCTTTTTTTTTTGAGACGGAGTCTCGCTCTGTCTCCCAGGCTGGAGTGCTGTGGCGCAATCTCGGCTCACCAATGTGTAGACTTTCTATGGTCACTAACATGACCAAACCATATCAATTTATTCAATTTTTGCAATATTTGTATTATTAATGCTTTGTATTATTAATGCTTTTTTGGAATTATTTGTATTATTAATATACTTATTAATATTTGTATTAATGATTTTAATATGTAATATATTATATATTCCTTTTATAGAAATATGTCAGAATATTTATTTAGAAATTTATATATATTTATTATTTAGAAACATTTAACATTTAAAAATAAGTAATGTCCTAAATAAACAATGTAATGTTCTAAATAAACATTTCTTAGAAATATATTTGTATGCGTATGCCCATATGTGCACGTGTGTGTGTGTATGCCAGCTGTAAAAAGAAAATTCTCTACTTTGTATTTTTGATAATTAGAATTATAGTGGTGGTGATTTGCTTTGATATAAAACATTTGACAAACATCACCAGTGAATGTCTGTCTGATGCTATTTAAAATTAAAATATTATCACATATTAATATGTATAGAAAAATAAAGACATGAAAAGAAATCAAGGCTAAAGATAAAAAGCCATTTCTCTTTGCAACATCAGCAGTTGTAGTTGCAGCTCATTTCTCTTTTGCCATTTACCCTGTTCGAAACAATATCCTTTGTCTTGCAGTTATATCGATAAATTCTTCAGGCAGTCAGTTCCAAAGCTGCTCTCTGAAGATGTTGGAGCTCTGAGTCACTGAGGTTCAGTTTGAATTTAATGTTTGATGTTATATTGATGCTTTTTAAATTGTGGATCATCATACCTAAATGTTTACCTAGATCTTTCCAAATCTAGGCATATCAAATAATATTAAAAAGCTAGCATTTATTTTGATCTCATTTGTTTTCATAATTATATTGCTTGGTGTGATAGTGATTTTTTGCTGTTTTTTTTTTTTGGCTGATATCAAGGAAGGGATGCTTTTTTATCCACATAAATAAGCAAGACCATTATTGGATGCCATCTACCCACATTACTGTCTGACCCTGAAGACAAATACAGTCAACTCACTTATGTGGGTGGACAGTGTTCATTTATGTTATCCACCTTGCTAATTAAAAATAGGGAAATCTTATACATAATGAAATAGTTCTTGTGCTTCTCAAAAACATGATTTAATTTGCACTGATTTACTCATACATGATTTGGTATAGCAGTTTATTATCCTTACTAAGCAATTCTATAGAATTTTACATTCAAAATCATTATCTTGTTTTTGCTCTTATAGAACACAACATAAAGTGAATATCAACAAATTTATAATTACAAACTGAATAGCAATAATCATTATAGTTTAAACAACTATTTACAACTAGTACAATATTTATACAAATATTGTATTATATAAATAAAACAACAAATATTCAGCTCATAGCTCTGTTGGTCAGAAATTTGGACTGGGCTAAACTGCGTGATTTTCCGCTGGTCTCAGTTACACCTACAAGTTCAGCTAAACCATTTTGCATGTCAAAGCAAAGGAGTGTGACCACCTATTGACTGAGGGTGTTGGGAAGCCTGGACTATATGTGTCCAACTTGCTAGCCTGGAAATTTTAACATGGTAGCCTTGTCAGCAGTCCCAAGAGGATCAAGAAAGGGCAAACCACAATATACAAGTAGTTTTCAAGTTGCTGCTTGTTTTATGTTTGCCACTGTTTCACTGGACAAAGTAAATCACATAGCCAAGTCCAGTCACCATGCAAGGGTACCACCAATGGGCTTGCATGAAGAGGGAAGAATTTGTAGTTGCTTTTTAAGTCAGCCACAGATGGATTTTGGGGAAACTGATTCATGGATTCCTACTTTGCTGTCTTTTTAAAAATATTCATTTATTATAATTAGAATTGATATTAGACAGCAGCTGGTAGCTTAGACAGCAGGCATTTCTGCTCTCTTATGCTGCCATGTTGTGAGAACTGGACATTTAGCTCACCTTCATGATGTTATGTACTTTAATATGTGAATTTACTCATTCTCAACTTTTCCTTATTAGTTCATGTACTATTTTTTTGGTTCATCAGCTGAGAACTCTGATACTTTTAGGCATTGGCCTCAGATGTGCTATGTATCATTAAATTATGTGATTCAAAGTCCTGCAAGAATAAAAGAATAATCTCAGCCATAAGTCTTGAACTTTGTTATAAAAGAGTAGATTGCAACTGTCACCAGAATCTTAAATTTTCCTCTTAGGGCATTTTAAATGATTAACATACCAAAGTTCTTAGTAAATAGTTGGTTTTATGTATAAGTAAGAATCCAAAATAGTCCCTGTGTGGGTCTACCTTTATTTAAATGATTTTTCTGTGTTCTGAATATTGTGGAGTCTTCTATTTGGAATTATTGTTAGAATTCTGAAGTCCCACTTTGGGGGAAAAAATTATTCATTCCAGAGCCATATACAACCTGTTTCTCTTTCTGTGATTTCTTCCCTTCCTACTTCACTTTCATGAGTTCATCCTATGTCATCTTTCTGTCCCTCCCAATGTCAAAGGCCCTGAGGAAAGGGCCTGGTGAAATGGACTCTGGAGTTAGACTGAGGCCCAACAGCCTAACAAGCCTTAAGTAAATGTGTGATCTTTCTGCCTGTTTCATCCAGGTATCACTAACTTAGTCCATGTTCCAGCGATGACCTGTTACTTCTACATAACAGAAAAATAACCCCAACTTAAGTACAAACAAAATAAAATGAAAAGGAATTTATTGGGGAATCAGAGAAACAGCTATAAAGTTTTAAGCCCTTCCTAGAGCCTCAGGGCTAGAACTGGCCCTCAGAATATTTTTCCTTGTCTTTATTTCTCTTTGACTGTTGGCTTTTCCTCTCCTACTACAGGCAGATTCTTCCATTGAGTCAGGAATAATGACCAACAGGATCCCTATGCTCATATCACCTTAGCAGTCATTAAGGAAAGAAGGATTAGGACTGAGTTTCTTTCTTTCATTACCTTTGATTACTCTGGTTCCAGAGCCAAAAAAGCCTTTGTTATCTTTAAATACAAGTGAAATACTACTGAATTTTACTACATGGCAGATACTGTTTTATGAGGTTTCCATGATTAAGTAATTTAATCCTCACAGGAACTATTACAGATAATCATATAAAGTAGGTATAATTCCATATTATACCCATTTTACAGATGAAGATGTTGAAGAACTAAATAATGAAATAACTTTTCCATCACACAGCTAGTAAATGGCAGAGCCAGGATTCAGTATAAGGAAATCTACGCCAGGGAAAATGCACTTGTGAACTTGCCATGGTTTGGAGGTTTCCTAAGTTTTTACATAGGCCCCTCCCAGGAAATGGCAATTCATGTTCTAAAACAGTTTTTTAAAACTAAAACCTAATCCTCTTTGAAAAGATAGTAAATTTGAAATACATTTATAGGTACATTTTTGATAGTGTGCAATTCAGGACTCAGAGTTGGAAAACAATTAACCTCAGGTTTATTTGGGTAGCTGGAAAAATTAAAGGACTAAATGTAATTTTGGCTGGAGAGTAAATGATCATGTAAAGCAAAGACCTGTCCAAAAAATTTCATATTGGATTCATTCCACCTTCATTATGATTAGCCATGTTTGAGGTTTGCATTATTTCTTGTTCTTTATGTGGACATTAGTTATCTACTTTATAAAGAATATTTTACTGTAATTTTTAAAAGAAATACCACAAATACTTTGTACTATTGGATGTAAATAAAACACTTATATGCAGTGAAATGACTTATAGTAATTTATAAATTAAAGTTACTTACTGTAGGACAAATTGAATTGTGGAGCAACAGGATTCTGTATCTTTTGAAATCTGGTGTTCTGGAATAAGCTACATTTTCATAAACGACAGTTTATTTTCCCGTCAACTCCCAGTTATTTTTTACTCTTTGTCAACTGATGTTCAGCTTCTTAATTTTATTTGAGCTGCACAGAATATACAAGTTTCTTGTTCCGAAAGCCCTTGTTATCTGTGAAGAGGCTGGAAAGAGGCTGTGCAGGTTAACGACTATCTCTTTCACCTCTGGGGCTGTTTCTTCAAGTCCAAGATCAGTTCCTTTCTTTTCTGACTACTGCCCTTCGCAAAAAGTGAAATAAAAGTCTTTTTGAAACTAGTCATCACTCATAAGACATGGTAAACAAAGACAAAGAAGAAAACTAACCATTCTGAAGTGAATTTTTGGCTGAAAACATTACTTATCTTAAACCTCCAGAGACTTTGTTATCCAATTTTATATAGAGTTGGTGGTTGGAAGTGCCATATGGGTTCACATTCAGATGAGAACATATTTTGCAAGCAAAAATAGCCACATGTATAGGTTTGTGAAAATCAAAGTAAATATACTAAAGGACATGTTTTCAGGACTCAATCTAGAAGTTCTTGCAGTACAAAATTTTTTCCTGTTTTTCCATATCAATAAGTATCAATAATCAATGATCAATGTCAATAAATATTGATCACTTGTGATATGTTCTGAACTATTTTAAATATTGGCCATGCCCCAGGAAAATAGGGTAAATTGACATGTATTGAATAACAACTGTGAGCTAGAAATTGTTATTCATTCATACAGCACATTTACTTTTCAAGGCTGGGGATGAAGCAGTGAGCTAGGTAGACAAGGTTCCTGGTTTCAAAGAGGTTACATTCTAGTAAAAGAGACAGATCATAATCAACGAAACAGCATTCAGTCATGTGTCACTTAACAACGGGGATACATTTTGAAAAATACATTGTTAGGTGATTTCGTCTGTTTGTGAACATTATACTGTACTTACACAAACCTAGAGGGTGTATCCTACTACACGCCTATGCTATATGGTATAGCCTATGGCTCCTAGGCTATAAACCTTTACAGCATGTTACTGTATCAAATATTGTTGGCAACTGTAACACAATGGTAAATATTTATGTTTTTAAACATAGAAAATGTACAGTAAAAATACTGTATTATAATCTTATGGGACCACCATCATACATGAAGCCCATTGATGACCCCGACATCCTTATGTGGCACCTGACTGTAATTTCAGATACAAGTAAGTGCTATGAAGAAAATGTTAAAAGGGTGATATAATAGAGATAAGTCAAGAGGGGGACCCTGAGAGATAGGTGAAGGTATCAATTAGAAGGAAATATTTGTGTCAAAACCTGAAGGAAACAGCTGCTTGACCAAAGTTCATCATGGCGGACAGGAGGCAGGACTAGATTGCAGCTCTGACTCAGATAGATGGAGCAGCATGCAGAGGCTCATATCATGGAATTTTAGCTCCGGAATGACTGCAAGAACAAATGACTGCAGGAATCCCAAGAGGACCCACAGACCCTCTAAAGGAAGTGGACTGTTCCTGTAGAACCTGGGAGACACCCCAAATACTGTCAGTGCCCAAACTGCAGAAGTCGGAAAGGGAGATCCTCTACTCCCAAACATACACCCCCACAGGGAAACTCAAGGTCTAGTTTGCAGAAGTTTCTGACCTTACCTGAAGCTGAGTCAATTTAGAGAGCCGAGCACAATACAGGGGTAGAGGAAGCAGCAGGAAAGGCCCTGGGAGCTCACTGGGTCCCCAAGCAGGCCATTCCTACCTGGAACCACAGGGATCCTTTGGGAGGGTGGCCAGAGGTGCAAGGAAAATGCCACAGAGAGGTCTCCAGCTGAACTTTGTAACAATTTGAACCAGGTGAGAAGCCTCCTGGCCAGAATTCAGGGGATGTTGGTGCAAGGGCTCAGGCAGGGCTTGCTTGTCTGACGTAATGTAAAAGAGTCTTGGAACATGTCCTGGGTCCAGGGTCTAAAACCTCTCATGGCCTATGGAACACCAAGCTCTGTGCCAAAGGGTGGAAGGCTGCCCTGCCACACCATAATCTAAGCCCAGGGCATAAAACCCCTCGTGGCTTGGAGATAATCCAGGGCTCAGGGCATTAACCCCTTGTGGCCTTGGGAATGTGTCCAGACTCGCTGGCTCCTTGCTCCTTGCTCTCCCAGGATCGATTGTATCTTGAGTTAAAAGAACCTGCTCTCCATTATCTCAAGTAGCAGAGCATATGCTAAACCATCACAGCTACACTTGATGTACCACTACCTTTCTACCCCCACATCCTCACGTCCTCACCTGTCTACCCCTATGTCTGCACACCCTCACCACCTGCTTCTTTGTTTGATTACCAATAAATAGTGTGGGCTCCCAGAGCTCAGGGGCTTTGCAGCCTCCATACTAGCATTGGCCCCCTGGACCCACCCTATGTACTCGTAACTTGTCTTGTCTCATTCCGTTGACTCTGTTGGACCTCGTAGCCCCCATGGCCTGGTGTTGGGTCTGATCACCGCAATAGGGGAGGGCATGAATCTGGCATACAGACTTCACAGGCAGGGGGAAGAACCAAAGCCCTTACTTTCACAGCTGGGAGGTGGGTAGCCTGGGGCAAGTTCTCAAGCCCTGCTTGCTCACTGCCTGGAAACAGACTCAGTGCTGTTAGGTGGAGGCACAGTGGGAGTGAGACCAGCCCTTTGGATTGCATGGGAGCTGTGTGAGGCCTGTGACTGCCAGCCTCCCCCACTTCCGTGACAACCTGAATGACTCAGCAGAAGCAGCCATAATCCTCCTAGGTACACAACTGCATTGATCTGGGAACCTCACCCCCATCCCCTACAGCAGCCACAGCAAGACCCACCCATGGAGAGCCTGAGCTCAGATAAGCCTAGTCATGCCCCCACCTGATGGGCCTTCTCTTCCGTCCCTGGTAGCTGAAGACAAAAATCATATACTCTTGGGAGTTCTAGGGCCCTGCCCACCACTTGTTCCTCTCCATACTATCACAGCTAATGCTTTCTGGAAAGTGCCACCTCTGGCAGGAGGCCAACCAACACAAAAATAAATCATTAATCCACCAAAGCTAAGAACTCCTCACAGAGTCCATTTCACCACCCCTGCCACCTGCACTGGAACAAGTGCTGGTATTAATGGCTGAGAGACCCACAGATGGTTCATGTCACAGGACTCTGTGCAGACAACCCCTAGTACTAGCATGGAGCCTGGTAGACTTGCTGGGTGGCTAGATCCAGAAGAGAGATAACAATCACTGTAGCTTGGCTCTCAGGAAGCCACATCTATTGGAAAAGGGGGAGAGTACTACATCAAGGAAAAACCCCGTAGGACAAAAGAATCTGAACAGCTTCAGCTCTAGAACTTCCCTCTGACAAAGCATACCCAAATGAGAAGGAACCAGAAAACCAGCTCTGGTAATCTGACAAAACAAGTTTCTTTAACATCCCCAAAAAACCACACTAGCTCACCAGCAATGAATCAAACAAAGAAGAAATCCCTGACATACCTGAAAAAGAATTCAGGAGGTTAGTTATGAAGCTAAACAAGGAGACACCAGAGAAAGGTGAAGCCCAATGCAAGAAAATCCAATACCAATACAAGAATTGAAGGGAGACATATTCAAGGAAATAGATAGCATAAAGAAAAAAAACAATCAAAGCTTCAGGAAACAGACACACTTATAGAAATGCAAAGTGCTCTCTGAAAAGTCTCAGCAATAGAAATGAAGAAGTAGAAGAAAGAAATTCAGAGCTCAAACACAAGGTCTTCAAATTAACCCATCCAACAAAGACAAAGAAAAAAGAATAAGAAAATATGAACAAAGCCTCTATGCTAAATGACCAAACCTAAAAATAATCAGTATTCCTGGGAAATTCGTTGCAAAAAGTTCTTCACCTAGGCACATTTTCATCAGGTTATCCAAAGTTAAGACGAGGAAAAGAATCTTAAGAGCTGTGAGACAGAAGCACCAGGTAACTTATAAAGGAAAACCTATCAGATTAATAGCAGATTTTTCAGCAGAAACACTACAAGCTAGAAGGAATTGGGGGCCCTATCTTCAGCCTCCTCAAACAAAACAATTATCAGCCAGGAATTTTACATTCAGCAAAACTAAGCATCACATGAAGGAAAGTTACAGTCTTTTTCAGACAAACAAATGCTGAGAGAATTCGCCACTGCCAAGCCACCACTACAAGAACTGCTACAAGGAGCTCTAAATCTTGAAATAAATCCTGGAAACATATCAAAAGAGAACTCTTTAAAGCATAAATCACACAGGACCTATAAAACAAAAATACAAGTTAAAAAGCAAAAACAAAAAAACCAAACACCCAAGATACACAGGCAACAAATAGCACAATGAATAACAAAGATCAGAGCAGAACTACAAGAAATTGAAACATAAAAAAATAAAAATATAAATGAAACAAAAAGCTGGTTCCTTGAAAAGATAAATAAAATTGATAGACCATTAGCAAGATTAACCAAGTAAAGAAGAGAGAAAATCCAAATAACCTCATTAAGAAAGGAAACAATTATTACAACTGACAACACGGGAATAAAAAAGATCATTCAAGGCAGCTGTGAACACTTTTATGCACATAAACTAGAAAAACTAGAAGAGATGGATAAATTCCTGGAAAAACAGCCCTTCCAGCTTAAGTCAGGAAGAATTAGATACCCTGAACAGACCAATAACAAGGAGTGAGATGCAAATGGTAATTTAAAAATTAGCAACAAAAAAAAAGTCCAGGACCAGATGGATTCACAGCAGAATTCTACCAGACATTGAAAGAAGAAGTGGCAAAAATCCCTTTGACACTATTCCACAAAATAAAGAGGGAACCTTCCCTAATCCATTCTATGAAGCCAGCATCACCCTAATACCAAAACCAGGAAATGACATAACCAAAAAAGAAAACTACGGACCAATATCCCTGATGAAGTTAGATGCTAAAATCCTTAACAAATTACTAGCTAACCGAATCCAGCAGCATATCAAAAAGAGAATCCACCATGATCAAGTGGATTTCATACCAGGGATGCAGGGATGGTTTAACATACTCAAGTCAATAAATGTGATACACCACATAAACAGAATTTAAAACAAAAATCATATGATCATCTCTATAGATGCAGAAAAAGCATTTGACAAAATGCAACATCGCTTTATGATTAAAACTCTCAGCAAAATTGGCATACGAGGGACATACCTTAATGTAATTAAAGCCATCTATGAAAAACCCACAGCCAACATAATACTGAATGGAGAAAAGTTGAAAACATTCCCTCTGAGAAATGAAACAAAAACAAAACAAAACAAAAAAAAAACACACAAAAAAAACAAAAACAAAAACAAAAATTAAAATTAAAATTAAAATTAAAAAAAAAGAGAAATGAAACAAGACAAGGATGCCTACTTTCAGACCACTCCTCATCAGCATAGTACTAGAAGTCCTAACCACAGCAATCAGACAAGAGAAAGAAATAAAGGGCATCAAGATCAGTAAAGAGGAAGTCAAACTGTCACTGTTTGCTGATGATATGATTGTTTACCTCGAAAACCTTAAAGACTCCTCCAGAAAGCTCTGAGAACTGATGAAAGAATTCAGCAAAGTTTCTGCATACAAGATTATTGTACACAAACCAGTAGCTCTTCTATACACCATCAGTGACCAAGTAGGAATCAAATCAAGAACTCAACTCCTTTTAAAATAGCTGCAAAAATAAAAATAAAAATACTTAGAAATATACCTAACAAAGGAGGTGAAAGGCCTCTACAAGGAAAACTACAAAACGCTGCTGAAAGAAATCACTGACGACACAAACAAATGAAAACACACCCCATGCTCATGGATGGGTAGAATCAATATTGTGAAAATGACCATACTGTCAAAAGCAATCTACAAATTCAATGCAATCCCCATCAAAATACCACCATCATTCTTCACAGAGTTAGAAAAAACAATTCTGAAATTCACATAGAACCAAAAGGAGCCCACATAGCCAAAGCAAGACTAAGCAAAAAGAACAAATCTGGATGCATCACACTACCTGATTTTAAACTATACTACAAGGCCATAGTCACCAAAACAGCATGGTACTGGTACAAAAATAGGTACATAGACCAATGGAATAGAATAGTGAACCCAGAAATAAACCCAAATACTTACAGCCAGCTGATCTTCAACAAACCAAACCAAAACAGTAAAAGGACACCCTTTTCAACAAATGGTGCTGGGATAATTGGCTAGCTACAAGTAGGAGAATGAAACTGGATCCTCAGCTCTCACCTTATACAAAAAGCAACTCAAGATGGATTAAGGGCTTAAATCTAAGACATGAGACTATAAAAATTCTAGAAGATAACATTGGAAAACCCCTTCTAGACATTGGCTTAGGCAAGGATTTCATGACCAAGAACCCAAAAGCAAATGCAATAAAAACAAAGATAAATAGCTGGCACTTAATTAAACTAAAGGGACTTTTGCACAGCAAAAGGAACAGTCAGCAGAGTAAACAGGCAACCCACAGAGTGGGAGAATATCTTCACAATTTATACATCTGACAAAGGACTAATATCCAGAATCCACGATGAACTCAAACAAATCAGTAAGAAGAAAACAAACAATCCCATCCAAAAGTGGACTAAGGACCTGAATAGACAATTCTCAGATATACAAATGGCCAAAAAACATATGAAAAACTCCTCTGCATCACAAATTATCAGGGGAATGCAAATCAAAACCACAATGCAATACCTCCTTACTCCTGCAAGAATGGACATAATCGAAAAATGAAAAAAAAGTAGCTGTTGGTGTGGATGGGGTGATCAGGGGACACTTCTCCACTGCCGGTGGGAATGTAAACTAGTACAGCCACTATGGAAAACAGTGGGGAGATTCCTTAAAGATCTAAAATTAGAACTACCATTTGATCCAGCAATCCCACTACTGGGTATCTTCCCAGAGAAAACGAAGAATGAATTAACAGCATTTGCAGCAACCTGGGTGAGATTGGAGACTATTATTCTAAGCTAAGTGACTCAGGAATGGAAAACCAAACATTGTATGTTCTCACTGATATGTGGGAGCTAAGCTATGAGGACGCAAAGGCATAAGAATGATACAATGGACTTTGGAGACGGGGGGAAGAGTGGTAGAGGGGTGAGACATAAAAGACTACAAATAGGGTGCAATGTATACTGCTTGGATGATGGGTGCACTAAAATCTCACAAATCACCACTAAAGAACATATTCATGTAACCAAATACCTCCTGTATCCCAATAACCTATGGAAAAAATATGAAAAGAAGGAAACAGCTAAGCAATGTGTTGAGAAAAGAGTATTTCAATGAGAGAGAACTTAAATGCACAAAGACCATGAGATATGTACAGACATTACCTCCTTTAATCCTCACTATGTTTCTGTAAGGGAGGTAGTGTTAGGCTAATTTTATAGATATCAAAATGGAACCACAGAACTAACACACATAAGATTACTTTGTCAGCTAGCAAACAGGATGCCATGTTATGAGCTCAGGAGTCTCTGACTACCACCAGCCTTCTCTTTCTGCACCCCCATGCTGCTTCATGGGATCTAAAGCACAACTTAAATGGATGTCACTGCAAGGAATTCCAGAGGAAGAGAGGTTCCTATCCCAAATATAGGTAAATCTCCTAGATGGTCCTGGTTCTTTGTTTTCTTTCTACTAATAAATATGCAAGAAAGACTTATTTGGATCTATTTGTTTAGTAATTCATTCAATAGATTTTTTGAGTGTCTATGATATAACTGTACTATTTGCATTTAAAGTTTGGAATGCAGCCATGGTAAATAGTATGAACTATTTTCTTTCAAGGAATTGAGAGTCGTTTTGTTTTTAGTATATTGTCTGGAAATCCTAGCAGTATAATCCGCTTTGCCAAAAGTTACATGGAAGGATATAAAACTATTATAGTTTTAAAGTCTTCCGGTCAGTTGGCTGAAAATTATCTGTAACATTTAATATCTGACTCTGTTTGGAAAGAAATATAGCCAACCACCTTTTTAAACCTCTTTTCGGTGTTTTGGGAAACACAAAGTTGGGATCTTTTCAATCATTTGCAAAATAAAACAGTATTTTTGAAGGCATTGATTTATATTTGATTTCAGGCATTGAATTGTTTTATTATTGAGACTGTCTCTGAACTCTGAGAAATTCCAAGGGAAAGAATTAAAAATCTTCAATTCAGCCTGGCCTAAATCTACTATTTTCAACCAATTTTTTTTTTCTGCTGTGCTTTCTTGCATATTTTCTGAATGGATAGATAGGACAATGATACAGCAGAAATAATGAATGTTTGTCTGCCACTTCCATTAAATATGTCAATGCTTTTATGAAAGGTAATCTATGGTTACTGAAGCCAATGCCTGTACTTACTGCTCAGTCATAACCATTCTCATACCTGGAATCTAAAGAGGTGGCATCAGTAATCTGTACACACTGAGTACATAATATTGCTCAGTGGAAAGAGAAATGCTGCTGTATATTACTCTACATTTTTCATAGTCTTTATAATGTTTTATATCTAAATGTATTATTATGTAGTTTCACTGATCAGTAAGAGAGCTAGATCATGTAGGCCTTATAAGAACGTTGGCTTTTACTCAAAGGGGATGAGAAACTATCGGGGGATTTTGAGTAGGGATGCCATCATCTGGCCTTTGTTTTTAACAGAACAAGTCTGGCTGCTGTTATGAGTGTAGATCAAAGGATGGATGGATAGAAATGAGGAGATGAAATAGGAAGCAGAGCAATAATTTTGATGGCAGATCATAGTGCCTTTGTATAGGGTAATAGAATATGCTAGAGCCTAGAATACAAGCATCAAGCTGTTATGAGCTTGGCATTTTTACCACTGTATCCCCAGGGTGTGGAATCATTTCTGGAGTACAGCAGGAGCTCAGTAATTCTTGCTGCATGCAGGAATGGATGGATAGATTGACAGTTTTTCACACTTCTGTCTTCTCCCCATCTGTTTGTTACTTAAGTTTTAACATCTAAGCTATTTTCCTCATCCTCACAGTTTTTAAACTAAAGCAAAAGTGAAACAAAAGCAAAACAGCCAAGTTTCTTCTAAATTTAATTGAATTCAACGAGTCTTTTTGTAAAGCACTTTTATGTGGTTTCTTTGGGCTATTAAGGACATCAAATGCCAACAGAATGTTCTAAGACTGTGAGATGAGATTGTTGCTTAGGGTCACAGCTATGCCACAGCACCAGAATTTACTTTAAAATTAAAATTGCTACATAGTTTTAATTTCCTCCTCAGAAGGGCAATAACCTTTCAATGAATCAGACTCGGCTTTTTCTGCTTACTATAAATGGAACCATGTGACCATTACATTACAAAGGGCATAAACGGCAGGCTATATTAGAAAAGTTTGGGGACAAGGAGCACAGGAATGTATTTGGCACACAACTTTTTTGTGTGATAAAGAAGAGAAATAAGAAGACATGCAAACAGTTGTATTGATATACATAAAGAAACACTGAATACATACAGAAGCAACTAAAAAGGCTGATTGCAAGGCTCAGAAGATGAATTGGATAGACAGGGCAAAATGTTTAATAGGGGATTGTTTTATATCATTTTGATGATCATGTAAATTATTACCTATTTAATTAGTACATAAATAAATAAAAATGGCATCTTTTAAATAGCTGTGGAGGGCAAGGGGGTGGGGACAGTAGGGAGGAAGGGCCTAGGGAAACTTGAAGTGAAGCAAGTGTTCGTTTTGCCACTTTTCCAGCCCTCATCAACTGCATTTGGAGATGAAACTTCTCAGATGAAGTGTATATGTGTTAATATTAGTAAATAATAACCAATCACATTTTTTCATCTTTTTTTCTTAAGGAATAAAGAAGCCTATATTCATAAGAATGCTGATTCTTAAAGGGCTAGAAAGGCCAGTTGAAGAAGGCCAGTCTGTAGAGATGCCTGGGAATTCTTTGATCTTTTTGGAGGCTAAAGGAAGTAAAATTCTGCTATGGAAATTGTCCTATTATATTTCTGCTTTCAAGAAGTGGCTACAAGATTATGAGGTTTTGCAATGTTGCCCTCCTAGTCCTGTGTACATTGCTGTAAAGACTCCCAGGCATGGAGGCCATCACTGGCACTGTTCCTCTCAGCAGTTATTTGGGTGTGAAGTTCCTCACTCCTGCAAGACTCAGCCTGAAGGAGCATGTCTACATGACCCACCTGCACAATCTCCCCACTTGTCAGTAACAGCTGTGAAATCTGCCCCTGTTGTCTTTAGGTAAGAAATTTCACCAATGACAGTAACATCTTACTCTTGTGTAGAGTTTTATATTTCTCAAAATGTTTTCACCTGTGTTATTTCTTCTTATGTATTCACAGAAACTGAAAGATGGAAAAGATCTCAGATGCTGTGACCCCCATGTAACAGATGGAGGAATTGAATCCAAGAGATGAAGTGACCACTTTGCCTAAAATCAAATAGCCATGTAGCAGCCGAGCTAAAACAAACATTCAGTCCTCCTGAATCCTAACTCAGTGATTTTCTCTTAATATCATATAATAACATCCATTGTTTTCCTGAGTCTCCCCTATCATTTTACTATTCTTCTTGATCCATTCATATTAGTTTTTTTTTCTTTTTTGGATTAAAGGTGACCTTAATCAAAATTTGATATTTACATAAGTATGATATAAAATAACTTATATCTATATTTAATAATTTCTTATTTTAGTTGATGCTTTCAAAAACTGCCAGAAAACAGATTTTTTTGCCACAAGCAGTTACAGTTTCATCTTCATATTCCCTCTCTTAACATGCTGAAAAATTAAGCATACATAGAAATGCTAATTAGAGTTGTCTTCCTTGTCAATGCTGTGATTTATATTTGACCTGTTTCCTATCAGATTTGCCACAAGCTAGAATCTTCTGAGGATTTCTGCTTCATATATATTCTCTACCATTCGGCAGACACTAATAAAGAGTGTCAAAATCCTGGCAAGAAAATGTTTCTTAAAGTCATAGCTGATGCTAGACACTAAGTAAGTCAAGTTTCCTATTCCATAGTGAAAAAGAAAAAAAGCTTTTACGTCTAAATTCAGTTTCAGTAAAAGGGAAAGCCTTATATCCAGGTCAAGATCCAATCCACTAAGATTTGAATCTATTGAGATATTATATCTTAGAATTCAGAGCTTAGCATGCTTAATATTTAGAAACATGTTAAAAAGTTAAAAGTGCTGCACAGTTAGAATGACTTCACTGCAAAGGTGAATATTTTCAAAGGATTCTGATTCCATTTTGACAGCTTTCTTTACTTGACACTCATAGGCCCCACACTTACTAAAGGGCTGAGTTGGTACCACAGCACTGAAAGGTACATCCTTTGGTTATTAAAAGGAGTATGATGAAAAGTGTTACTTGGGAACATGTGGGACTTCCTCTTGATTGATTAAAAAAATACTGTTTTCCTCCCTCACTGATAATCTCACTCCATGTTGCCAATATTATAGCAGTTTTCTGTATGATTTCTTACTTGAAAACGCTATGGTAGAAGTGAGAGTCTGAGTTTTTTTCCTGGCTCACTCTTAAATGTATCCCCAATATCTCTTTCATTTTCTAAACTGGGGAGGAAATTAGGACCCCAGCTTCCAACTATCTTAACTGTATTCAGTAAAACTTTTTTTCTACTTAAAAAATTATCTAAGTTAACTGGAATTGGAAATGTTTAAAAAAATTGAAAATAGAATCTTAAATAAATTTAGAAAGATCTCACTTTATCATTAAGAATACTAACTATAAATGTGATCAATAAACATTTTTTATTAAACACCAAATAATTATAAGCATTGGTTTATAATTTTACATGGCTCAAGCAAAATGAAAATTTTTAAATAAGATACAGAATATTTCAAATTTTCTCTTTCATTTTCTGCAAGGTATCTAGTCCTAATTTGGGAAAGCCAGAAACTTTCTGTAAAGTTATAGAGAAACTTTTTAAGTGTCCAGTGCCACTAAATTTTAGCATAGACATGTGCGCTGAAAAAAATCTAGAGTTATACCCAAGAAAATGTTTTTGTGCTAAAGTTTAAATTACAGAGAGTAGAACTCTTCATCTGAGGTTTTTCACTGCCTTAAGAGATTGAGAGGGATTCAATGCTGCCACGTGAGCCAGCCACACAAGCGAACACTCCTACAACAGGTATGTACAGGTCTTTCACAAAAATTAATGTAAAATGGATCAGAGTCTGCTATAGTTTGAATGCTTTTGTCAAAATTTATGTTGAAACTTAATTCCTAATGCAACAGTAGTAAGAAGTGTGGCCTTTAAGAGGTAACTGAGTCATGAAGTCCCTGCCCTCATAAATGGGATAAGGTGACCTTATAAAAGGGCTTGACAGAGGGAGTTTGCTCCTTTCTTGCCCTGCCTTTCATGCCACCCATTGAGGACACAGCATTTCACCCCTCCAGAGGATGCAGCAGTAAGGCAACTTCTTGGAAGCCAAGATGGAGCCCTTACCAGACATCAAACCTGCTGGTGCCTTGATCTTGGACTTCACCTCCAGAACTGTGAGAAATAAATTTGTCTTCTTTCTAAATTACCCTGCCTCAAGTATTTTGTTATAGCAGCACAAATGGACTAAGAAAGAGACCTAAATTTAAAATGCAAAACAATAAATTTTCTGGAGGATGAAACATGGGAGAAAATCTAATTGACCTTGGGTTTGTTGATGAGTTTTTAGATACAGCACCAAAGCATGATCCATGAAATAAAAATCTAATAAACCTTATTAAAATTAAAAATTTCTGCTCTGCAAAAGACACTGTTAAAACAATAACAGAATTCATAGACTGGGAGAAAATATGTACAACACAAATATATGATAAAGGACTTATATCAAAAATATACCAGAAAAACCTTTTAAAACTCAGCAACAAGAAAAAAGCCCAATGAAAAAGTGAGCAAAAGTTCTGAACAAACATGTCATCAAAGATGATACGCAGACAGGAAGTAAGCATACAAATAGACATTTAACATCATGTGTCAGTAGGAAAATGCAAATTAAAACAACAATGAGTTAACACTAAACACCTATTAGATTGTTTAGCATACAAAAAAACTGACAATACCAAATGATGGCAAGTATGCAGAGCAACTCAAATTCTCATTAATTCCTGGTGAGATTAAAATATGGTGGAGCCATTTTGGAAGACTGGTGGTTTCTTGCAAAGCTAAACATAGTCTTGCCATATAATCTAGCATCTGCACTCTTAGATATCTGCCCAAGTGCTTTGAAAACTTATGTTCATACAAAACCTACATACAAATGTTTGTAGCAGCTTTATTCATAATGGCCTCAAACTGAAAACAACCAAGATGTCTTTACATAGGTAAATAGACAAATTCAAGTACATTCATATAATGTAATGCTATCCAGCACCGAAACAGGAATGAGCTGTCAAAGTATAAACAGATACAGATGTATCTTAAATGCATGCTGCCAAATGAAAAAAGCCAGTCTGGAAAGGCTATGTGCTATAGGATGCCAATTATGTTACATTTTGAAAAAGGCAAAATTTGGGCTTGGAAAACCAATCAGTCTTTGCCAAGGGTTTGGAAGAAGGAGAGTTAAATAGTGAAATGTAGGGATTGCTTTTAGGGTGTTGAAAAAGATTTTGTATGATACTACAATGGTGACTGCCTGACACTATGCATTTGTCAAAACCCATAGAATTTTACAGTACAAATAGTTAACTCTATTGCATGAAAATCTTTAAAAGTCATTTAGGAGGTCAAGGAATCTTAGAATGGAACTCAGAATGCAACAAAAGAATCTAACTGTATTACTACAGTGGGGGAAAATAGTTCTGAATTTGGAAATGAATATGGTCTGTAGGAATAAAGACAAAACATAAGCATTATACTCTAGTAGATAAGGTTGTTTCTCACAGAACTATAGGTTAACAATTCTGAAACCACTAAAGATATATACTGGAATTGAGAAATTAAGTAAATACACAGGGGATGTATTTACTTAATTGGGAGTGATGTTTCTCACTCTTGGTATGGAAGGTTAGAAATAAGCAAAGAAAGGAGGCTAGAATGATACATGTCATAAAGGATTAGACTTGGAAATATACTGAAGATATCAATGTGAACTCATGTTTAGCTTAATGTAAACACACGTGACATATAAAATGTAACTTGCATGAATAGATTAGTATGCACATATTTCCTTGCCCATCAGCTGAGAAAGCCTGGAAGCAATGATGCTGCAGAAGCAACAGTCATGCCCCATGCCCAAATCTTGATTTCTAATGCCATTCTCCAATAAGGGAACAAAGACTCCTTACAGAAATGGCTGGTCTTTAGACTAGGATGGAAAATATACAAAATGTTCTTGGAGCATATACTAGTGCCAGAAAGTAAGAAAAGGGTAAAAGAAAAAATCTCACAATGATGGACATTGTGTCTCCGTGTAAAAGAGTCACAGGAGCCAACAGAAAGAGTTCCCAGTGATCAAAGCTAGAATCATTAGAACAACAAAATAAAGTAACATTAAAGTACAAAAATGTAAAGTAACTATCCATTAATCCATAACGACATAAATGACTGAATATATAAATAAATGAAGAAGAATAGATAAATCTCTTGTCCCGAAGAATTCCAAATAATTTATGTAGGTATCTACCCTCAAGGAAGGGAATGGTATCTCTTAGCCTCTTAAGTGTGGGCTGAACAATATTAGTTCCCTTCTAAAAAGAGACAGTACAGAAAGGGGGAAAAATAGAATAAACTTAGAGTCGAGAAACTTGACAAACACTAGCTCAGCTAAGTGATCAAGGCAATCACCAACAGTGATTCATCATGCTGATGGTGTGTATTCTTGATTCACTGTAATGAGGATTTTATTATGTGGTCTTCCTCCCCCAAATCCATAACCTCAATCTAATCATGAGAAAAGTATCAAATCCCAAATGAGGGGCTGTTTTAGTCCATTCAGGCTGATATCACAAAATACCTTAGATTTGGTGGTTTATATGTAACAGAAATTTATTTCTAACAATGTTGAAGGCTAAAAAGTCCAAGACCAAGGCAGCAGTAGATCTGGTGTCTGGTGAGGGCTCACTCTGCTTCACAGATGGAGCCTTCTTGCTTCATCTTCACATGGCAAAGGCACAAGCATGTTTCCTCAGGCCTCTTTTACAAGGGCACTAATCCCATTTAGGAGGTAGAGCCCTCATGACCTAATTACCTCCTGGAGACTCCACCGCTTAATATTATTGCACTAAGGATTTGGTCTCAACATATGAATTACAGGGGAGAAACCTCAGACCATAGCAGGGGCATTCTAAAATTATTTCCCCAACACTTCTCAGAATTATCAAGTTCACCAAAAACAAGAAATATCTGTGAAACTGTCACATCCAAGAGTAGTTTACGGAGTTATAAAAACTAAATGTAGTTTGTATTCTGGGTGAGATTCTGGAAAATAAAAAGGATATTATATAAAAAGGAAATCTGAATGAAGAACTTAATAAAAAAGAATCAATATTGATTCATTAATTGTGACAAAGGTATCACACTAATAATAGGAAAAAATGAGTATGGGTGTATGGGAACTCTTTATACTATTTTCATAATTTTCCTATAAATTAAAACTATTCTAAACAGTTTATTTAAAAATTATGTACCCCAGAATCACACAGGTACATGGGGGAATTTACCTGATTTGTTTGATTACCAAAAGTAGTCTAGGGGAAGAATTAGTAATATATATGTAATAAATTAAGCAAATTACAATGAGGCAATTATAAATTCCAGCTTTCAAAAAATAGTCATTATATATAGACAGGAAATGTTATTACCAAAATTTGTGATGTAAAAATATTGGGAGGATAGGGACTTGAGGAATGAGCATGTAGCGTGAGGAAAAATTCTACAGACACTGCAGTTGAATTGAAGAATATGAAAAAGTAACATATTTGTTTGGAGCTAGATGTATAAACAGCAGAAGAAAGAGTTTGAGTAGTTAAATCAATTGCTTCTGAGGATCAAGGCTCAGTATTAAAGCAGTTGTTGACAGTTTTAAACTATATATTTCTAAGGAAACCTATTAAATATAAATACAAAAACAATAGAGTAGTGTGTTTAATGGAGAAGCGTTAGACAGAACTTTAGAAACCCTCAGTGCTTGCACTAACGAGTTCTATGACTTTAAGCATAGCACTACCACAGGTCTTCATTTTCTCATTTATGAGCTGAAAGATTGGAATAGATGATGGCTAAAGCACCTTCCACTCTATGATTTTATGACAGTGGAAAAAATAAACACAATTCTAAACAAATAATACCAGATTTTTAAGATTTTTAAAAAACTTATAAGTTCTAGGAAGTTTAATGATTAAGTAGAAAAGAAAAATAAGGTAATGAAAATGTAGTTTTCTAACAATGTGTGTCAAATTTTGTAATGTAATTTAAACAAAGGAACAACTGTTAGGAGACCAGGTCCATCGACATTTAGGTTATTAAATCATGAACAATAAACTAAGGTTTTACCAAGAAAACGTACAGTCAGATATATTTTAACAAATGTATTCAATGAATTGGAAAGTAGGTGACTAAAGAGAGACACCACATATAAAGCATTCGTTTATTTAACATTTTTTAAAACAAAATTAGAATTGAAGTTTTCTTGTGAATAAAATTACTGTCAAGTGACTTGAAGTCAGTAGGAAAATTTTTATATCCAAAAACGATACATATATCTAACTTAGAAAGGTAGTTAGGCTGGCACAAAGGCCTTTACAGTCTTCATTAATGATACAAAATTGTGAAAATGATACCACTGAAGAGTTAGCATGCCTTAAAAATCATCACTATAGAATAAAAATGTATTAAAGGGACTTTGAGAATTTACAGTATTGTGTGTACAGAGAATACTAATGGGATGTGCCATGAAAATAATTTCATTCTTTAGGGAGAAAATAAAATTTGGATGACAGACTTTCAAAAAGCACACATGCAGGCACAAACACATAAATGTTTCAGATAACTACAGTTTACATTGTAGAGGTACACTAGATTTATTTTAAGCTGCAAGGGATACGGTGGAGTAACAACCAAGGCTATGGTGTGAGATAAGGCGTGGAGACTCTAGTGTGTATTATGTTAAGGAGAGAGTGATCATACCAGTTTTGCCAGATGACTGATAACAGTTTGAGGAAATGTATGGAAATCATATTATGGAGGGCTTTGCATACAAGCCAGAAGCCTTTCATACTTTATTGCATGGGAAAAAGGGGTGGGGAAGAGGCAACATGTGAAAGGATTTTAGGACTACAGATGTGGTGATTGTGTGAAGGAAGAGAGCACAGTAGTTACATGGCTTCAGACTCCCATATATCTAGGTTGGAATCCTGACTCTGTGTGACCATCAGAAAGTTAAACTCCTAAGTCCCAATTTCCTAATAGGATTTTATGAAAATTATAGGACATATTTATGTAACCACTTTGTGCAGTGCCTTGCTCAGTAAACAGAAGCTAAAAAAAAAATGTTTTGCAACAAAAGGATTCAAGTGGAGAAGAGCCCAGAATTTAAAATACCCATTTCAGAGATCATTAAAATAATCAAGGGAATGACAATGAGAATAAAATTAAGAAAGGAATGGAAGAACTCACAGACCTTTATGACAAACTAAAGGGATGAAAATGAACAAGGAGTCACTGTTGGCTCCCAAGTTTGGTGTCTAAGTGGCTGGAAGAATCAGGGCTGATACCAGAAACGTGAAGTGCAGTGAGAATGAAAATGTGAAGTACTGTGGGAGCAGTAGGGGATAAAGGATAATGAGTTTTGTTTTAAATGCCTCTAGTATAAGGCAAGGATGCTTCTAGTTAAAATTTCTAATAGACAATTTGAAATATGGATTTGCAATATCCAACCACTAGCTAGAGGCATATATTAAGGTTCGTTCTTGGTCATATTCTTGTGTCTGCAGTCTTCCCCTCAGTAATTCCAAACAATTCCACAGTGCTGACCATCACCCTCCTACTAAAGTCTGAGGCCTACTGGAGATTTCTGCTTAGATGTTTCATAAATACCTCAAACTCAGTGTGTCTAAAATCTAAGCCATAATTGCCCCTAAATAGGAATTTCACTGACTTATCTGATTTTGCCAATGGTAACTCCAGTTCACCCACAATAGGCAATTTAGAGTAATCCTTTATATCTTCACCTTTACTTGTAAAATCCTGTAAATGTGTGTCATGTAAAAGAAGAAGTTAGCATTCTCCTTAAAAAGGTTAAGAAGATTCTAGTCACCTGGACAAAAGATTCATGTTAAGGCATTGGTACTTACTTTATGGCATCTAAGCATGTCCTTTGCATGAATTAGAGAAGATAAAATTGATACAGTAAACCACATTAAAATTGAAAACTTGTCTTCATCAGAAGACAAAATTAAAAGAGTGAAATGGCAATTTGGAGAGTGAAAGAAGTTATTTGCCACATATGTATCTGACAAAGGAATTATATCCAGAATATTTGAGAAGCTCTTACCACATCTCAAAGAGGATATACAGATGGAAAAAAAGAGAAAAAAAGATGGTAATTTTACAAATTATTTAAAAGACATGCAAATGAAACCCATCAAGAAAAACTATGATACACCTGCCAGAAGGACTAAAATGTTAAAAATAGAAAATACAAAATATTTGTAAGGATACAAAGCAACTGAAACTTTCATTTTTGTCTGATGTGATTGTTAATTGGTATAACTACTTTAGAAAACTGTCATTAGAGGAGGAGCCAAGATGGCTGAATAGGAACAGCTCCGGCCTACAGCTCCCAGCATGAGCAATGCAGAAGAAAGGTGATTTCTGCACTTCCAACTGAGGTACTGGATTCATCTCACTGGGGAGTGCCAGACAGTAGGTACAGGATAGTGGGTGCAGCGCACCGTGCACGAGCCAAAGCAGGGCAAGGCATTGCCTCACCCAGGAAGCACAAGGGGGCAGGGAATTCCCTTTCCTAGTCAAAGAAAAGGGTGACAGACGGCACCTGGAAAATCAGGTCACTCCTACCCTAATACTGTGCTTTTCCAATGGGCTTAAAAAACGGCACACCAGGAGATTATATCCCACAAATGGCTCAGAGGGTCCTACACCCACGGAGTCTCACTCATTGCTCGAACAGCAGTCTGAGATCAAACTGCAAGGCAGCAGTGAGGCTGGGGGAGGGGCGCCCGCTATTGCCCAGTTAGTTGTTTGATTAGGTAAACAAAGTGGCTGGGAAGCTTGAACTGGGTGGAATCCACCACAGCTCAAGGAGGCCTGCCTGCCTCTGTAGGCTCCACCTCTGGGGGCAGGGCACAGACAAACAAAAGGCAGCAGTAACCTCTGCAGACTTAAATGTCCCTGTCTGACAGCATTGAAGATAGTAGTGGTTCTCCCAGTATGCAGCTTCAGATCTGAGAATGGGCAGACTGCCTCCTCAAGTGGGTCCCTGACCCCCGAGTAGCCTAACTGGGAGGCATCCCCCAGTAGGGGAGGACTGACACCTCACATGGCTGGGTACTCCTCTGAGACAAAACTTCCAGGGGAACAATCAGGCAGCAGAATTTGCAGTTCACCAATATCCACTGTTCTGCAGACACCGCTGCTGATACCCAGAAAAACAGGGTCTGGAGTGGACCTCCAGCAAACTCCAACAGACCTGTAGCTGAGGGTCCTGACTGGTAGAAGGAAAACTAACAAACAGAAAGTACACCCACACCAAAAACCCATCTGTACGTCACCATCATCAAAGACCAAAGGTAGATAAAACCACAAAGATGGGGAAAAATCAGAGGAGAAAAACCGGAAACTCTAAAAATCAGAGTGCCTCTCCTCCTCCAAAGGAATGCAGCTCCTCACGAGTAATGGAACAAAGCTGGATGGAGAATGACTTTGACGAGTTGAGAGAAGAAGGCTTCAGAAGATCAAACTATTCCGAGCTAAAGGAGGAAGTTCGAACCAATGGCAAAGAAGTTAAAAACTTTGAAAAAAAATTAGATGAATGGATAGCTAGAATAACAAATGCAGAGAAGTCCTTAAAGGACCTGATGGAGCTGAAAACCATGGCATGAGAACTACGTGACAAATGCACAAGCCTCAGTAACTGATACGATCAACTGGAAGAAAGAGTCTCAGCGATGGAAGATGAAATGAATGAAATGAAGTGAGAAGAGAAGTTTACAGGAAAAAGAATAAAAAGAAACAAACAAAGAATCCAAGAAATATGGGACTATGTGAAAAGGCCAAATCTACGTCTGACTGGTATACCTGAAAGTGACGGGGAGAATGGAACCAAGTTGGAAAACACTCTGGAAGATATTACCCAGGAGAACTTCCACAATCTAGCAAGGCAGGCCAACATTCAAATTCAGGAAATACAGAGAATGCCACAAAGATACTCCTTGAGAAGAGCAACTCCAGGACACATAATTGTCAGATTCACCAAAGTTGAAATGAAGGGAAAAAAGTTAAGGGCAGCCAGAGAGAAAGGTTGCGTTACCCACAAAGGGAAGCCCATCAGACTAGCAGCTGATCTCTCGGCAGAAATTCTACAAGCCAGAAGAGAGTGGGGGCCAATATTCAACATTCTTTTTTTTTTATTATTATTATACTTTAAGTTTTAGAGTACATGTGCACATTGTGCAGGTTAGTTACATATGTATACGTGTGCCATGCTGGTGCGCTGCACCCACTAACTCGTCATCTAGCATTAGGTATATCTCCCGATGCTATCCCTCCCCCGTCCCACCACCCCACAACAGTCCCCAGAGTGTGATATTCCCCTTCCTGTGTCCATGTGTTCTCATTGTTCAGTTCCCACCTATGAGTGAGAATATGCGGTGTTTGGTTTTTTGTTCTTGCGATAGTTTACTGAGAATGATGATTTCCAATTTCATCCATGTCCCTACAAAGGACATGAACTCATCATTTTTTATGGCTGCATAGTATTCCATGGTGTATATGTGCCACATTTTCTTAATCCATTCTATCATTGTTGGACATTTGGGTTGCTTCCAAGTCTTTGCTATTGTGAATAATGCTGCAATAAACATACGTGTGCATGTGTCTTTATAGCAGCATGATTTATAGTCCTTTGGGTATATACCCAGTAATGGGATGGCTGGGTCAAATGGTATTTCCAGTTCTAGATCCCTGAGGAGTTGCCACACTGAATTCCACAATGGTTGAACTAGTTTACAGTCCCACCAACAGTGTAAAAGTGTTCCTATTTCTCCACATCCTCTCCAGCACCTGTTGTTTCCTGACTTTTTAATGATTGCCATTGTAACTGGTGTGAGATGGTATCTCATTGTGGTTTTGATTTGCATTTCTCTGATGGCCAGTGATTAGCATTTTTTCATGTGTTTTTTGGCTGCATAAATGTCTTCTTTTGAGAAGTGTCTGTTCATGTCCTTCACCCACTTTTTGATGGGGTTGTTTGTTTTTTTCTTGTCAATTTGTTTGAGTTCATTGTAGATTCTGGATATTAGCCCTTTGTCAGATGAGTAGGTTGCAAAAATTTTCTCCCATTTTGTAGGTTGCCTGTTCACTCTGATGGTAGTTTCTTTTGCTGTGCAGAAGCTCTTTAGTTTAATTAGATCCCATTTGTCAATTTTGTCTTTTGTTGCCATTGCTTTTGGTGTTTTAGACATGAAGTCCTTGCCCATGCCTATGTCCTGAATGGGAATGCCTAGGTTTTCTTCTAGGGTTTTTATGGTTTTAGGTCTAACGTTTAAGTCTTTAATCCATCTTGAATTGATTTTTGCATAAGGTGTAAGGAAGGGATCCAGTTTCAGCTTTCTACATATGGCTAGCCAGTTTTCCCAGCACCATTTATTAAATAGGGAATCCTTTCCCCATTGCTTGTTTTTCTCAGGTTTCTCAAAGATCAGATAGTTGTAGATATACAGCATTATTTCTGAGGGCTCTGTTCTGTTCCATTGATCTATATCTCTGTTTAGGTACCAGTACCATGCTGTTTTGGTTACTGTAGCCTTGTAGTATAGTTTGAAGTCAGGTAGTGTGATGCCTCCAGCTTTGTTCTTTTCGCTTACGATTGACTTGGTGATGCGGGCTCTTTTTTGGTTCCATATGAACTTTAAAGTAGTTTTTTCCAATTCTGTGAAGAAAGTCATTGGTAGCTTGATGGGGATGGCATTGAGTCTATAAATTACCTTGGGCAGTATGGCCATTTTCACGATATTGATTCTTCCTACCCATGAGCATGGAATGTTCTTCCATTTGTTTGTATCCTCTTTTATTTCGTTGAGCAGTGGTTTGTAGTTCTCCTTGAAGAGGTCCTTCACATCCCTTGTAAGTTGGATTCTTAGGTATTTTATTCTCTTTGAAGCAATTGTGAATGGGAGTTCACTCATGATTTGGCTCTCTGTTTGTCTGTTGTTGGTGTATAAGAATGCTTGTGATTTTTGTACATTGATTTTGTATCCTGAGACTTTGCTGAAGTTGCTTATCAGCTTAAGGAGATTTTGGGCTGAGACAATGGGGCTTTCTAGATATACAATCATGTCGTCTGCAAATAGGGACAATTTGACTTCCTCTTTTCCTAATTGAATACCCTTTATTTCCTTCTCCTGCTTAATTGCCCTGGCCAGAACTTCCAACACTATGTTGAATAGGAGTGGTGAGAGAGGGCATCCCTGTCTTGTGCCAGTTTTCAAAGGGAATGCTTCCAGGTTTTGCCCATTCAGTATGATATTGGCTGTGTGTTTGTCATAGATAGCTCTTATTATTTTGAAATACGTCCCATCAATACCTAATTTATTGAGAGTTTTTAGCATGAAGGGTTGTTGAATTTTGTCAAAGGCTTTTTCTGCATCTATTGAGATAATCATGTGGTTTTTGTCTTTGGCTCTGTTCATATGCTGGATTACATTTATTGATTTGCGTATATTGAACCAGCCTTGCATCCCAGGGATGAAGCCCACTTGATCATGGTGGATAAGCTTTTTGATGTGTTGCTGGATTCGGTCTTCCAGTATTTTATTGAGGATTTTTGCATCAATGTTCATCAAGGATATTGGTCTAAAATTCTCTTTTTTGTTGTGTCTCTGCCTGGCTTTGGTATCAGTATGATGCTGGCCTCATAAAATGAGTTAGGGAGGATTCCCTCTTTTTCTATTGATTGGAATAGTTTCAGAAGGAATGGTACCAGTTCCTCCTTGTACCTCTGGTAGAATTCGGCTGTGAATCCATCTGGTCCTGGACTCTTTTTGATTGGTAAGCTATTGATTATTGCCACAATTTCAGCTCCTGTTATTGGTCTAGTCAGAGATTCAACTTCTTCCTTGTTTAGTCTTGGAAGAGTGTATGTGTCCAGGAATTTATCCATTTCTTCTAGATTTTCTAGTTTATTTGCATAGAGATGTTTGTAGTATTCCCTGATGGTAGTTTGTATTTCTGTGGGATCGGTGGTGATATCCCCTTTAGCATTTTTTATTGCGTCTATTTGATTCTTCTCTCTTTTCTTCTTTATTAGTCTTGCTAGCGGTCTATCAATTTTGTTGATCCTTTCAAAAAACCAGCTCCTGGATTCATTAATTTTTTGAAGGGTTTTTTGTGTCTCTATTTCCTTCAGTTCTGCTCTGATTTTAGTTATTTCTTGCCTTCTGCTAGCTTTTGAATGTGTTTGCTCTTGCTTTTCTAGTTCTTTTAATTGTGATGTTAGGGTGTCAATTTTGGATCTTTCCTGCTTTCTCTTGTGGGCATTTAGTGCTATAAATTTCCCTCTACACACTGCTTTGAATGCGTCCCAGAGATTCTGGTATGTTGTGTCTTTGTTCTCGTTGGTTTCAAAGAACATCTTTATTTCTGCCTTCATTTCGTTATATACCCAGTAGTCATTCAGGAGCAGGTTGTTGAGTTTCCATGTAGTTGAGTGGTTTTAAGTGAGATTCTTAATCCTGAGTCCAGTTTGATTGCACTGTGGTCTGAGAGATAGTTTGTTATAATTTCTGTTCTTTTACATTTGCTGAGGAGAGCTTTACTTCCCAGTATGTGGTCAATCTTGGAATAGGTGTGGAGTGGTGCTGGAAAAATGTATATTCTGTTGATTTGGGGTAGAGAGTTCTGTAGATGTCTATTAGGTCCGCTTGGCGCAGAGCTGAGTTCAATTCCTGGATATCCTTGTTCACTTTCTGTCTCATTGATCTGTCTAATGTTGACAGTGGGGTGTTAACGTCTCCCATTATTAATGTGTGGGAGTCTAAGTCTCTTTGTAGGTCTCTCAGGACTTGCTTTATGAATCTTGGTGCTCCTGTATTGGGTGCATATATATTTAAGATAGTTAGCTCTTCTTGTTGAATTGATCCCTTTACCATTATGTAATGGCCTTCTTTGTCTCTTTTGATCTTTGTTGGTTTAAAGTCTGTTTTATCAGAGACTAGGATTGCAACCCCTGCCTTCTTTTGTTTTCCATTTGCTTGGTAGATCTTCCTCCATCCTTTTATTTTGAGCCTATGTGTGTCTCAGCATGTGAGATGGGTTTCCTGAATACAGCACACTGATGGGTCTTGACTCTTTATCCAATTTGCCAGTCTGTGTCTTTTTATTGGAGCATTTAGTCCATTTACATTTAAGGTTAGTATTGTTATGTGTGAATTTGATCCTGTCATTCTGATGTTAGCTGGTTATTTTGCTCGTTAGTTGATGCAGTTTCTTCCTAGTCTCGATGTTCTTTACATTTTGGCATGATTTTGCAGCGGCTGGTACCGGTTGTTCCTTTCCATGTTTAGTGCTTACTTCAGGAACTCTTGTAAGGCAGGCCTGGTGGTGACAAAATGTCTCAGCATTTGCTTGTCTGTAAAGTATTTTATTTCTCCTTCACTTATGAAGCTTAGTTTGGTTGGATATGAAATTCTGGGTTGAAAATTCTTTTCCTTAACAATGTTGAATATTGGCCCCCACTCTCTTCTGGCTTGTAGGGTTTCTGCCGAGAGATCCGCTGTTAGTCTGATGGGCTTCCCTTTGAGGGTCACCCGACCTTTCTTTCTGGCTGCCCTTAACATTTTTTCCTTCATTTCAACTTTGGTGAATGTGACAATTATGTGTCTTGGAGTTGCTCTTCTCAAGGAGTATCTTTGTGGCGTTCTCTGTATTTCCTGAATCTGAACATTGGCCTGCCTTGCTAGATTGGGGAAGTTCTCCTGGATAATATCCTGCAGAGTATTTTCCAACTTCGTTCCATTCTCCCCATCAGTTTCAGGTACACCAATCAGAAGTAGATTTGGTCTTTTCACATAGTCCCATATTTCTTGGAGGCTTTGCTCATTTCTTTTTATTCTTTTTTCTCTAGACTTCCCTTCTCGCTTCATTTCATTCATTTCATCTTCCATCGCTGATACCCTTTCTTCCAGTTGATCACATCAGCTCCTGAGGCTTCTGCATTCTTCACATAGTTCTCGAGCCTTGGTTTTCAGCTCCATCAGCTCCTTTAAGCACTTCTCTGTATTGATTATTCTAGTTATACATTCTTCTAAATTTTTTTCAAAGTTTTCAACTTCTTTGCCTTTGGTTTGAATGTCCTCCTGTAGCTCAGAGTAATTTGATCATCTGAAGCCTTCTTCTCTCAGCTCGTCAAAGTCATTCTCCGTCCAGCTTTGTTCCATTGCTGGTGAGGAACTGCGTTCCTTTGGAGGAGGAGAGGCTCTCTCCTTTTTAGAATTTCCAGTTTTTCTGTTCTTTTTTCCCCATCTTTGTGGTTTTATCTACTTTTGGTCTTTGATGATGGTGATGTACAGATGGGTTTTTGGTGTGGATGTCCTTTCTGTTTGTTAGTTTTCCTTCTAACAGACAGGACCCTCAGCTGCAGGTCTGTTGGAGTACCCTGCCGTGTGAGGTGTCATTGTGCCCCTGTTGGGGGGTGCCTCCCAGTTAGGCTGCTCTGGGGTCAGGGGTCAGGGACCCACTTGAGCAGGCAGTCTGCCTGTTCTCGGATCTCCAGCTGCATGCTGGGAGAACCACTGCTCTCTTCAAAGCTCTCAGACAGGGACATTTAAGTCTGCAGAGGTTACTGCTGTCTTTTTGTTTGTCTGTGCCCTGCCCCCAGAGGTGGAGCCAACAGAGGCAGGCAGGCCTCCTTGAGCTGTGGTGGGCTCCACCCAGTTCGAGCTTCCTGGCTGCTTTGTTTACCTAATCAAGCCTGGGCAATGGCAGGCGCCCCTCCCCCAGCCTCGCTGCAGCCTTGCAGTTTGATCTCAGACTGCTGTGCTAGCAATCAGTGAAACTCTGTGGGCATAGGACCCTCCGAGCCAGGTGCAGGATATAATCTCGTGGTGCCCCCTTTTTTAAGCCCGTCGGAAAAGTGCAGTATTCGGGTGGGAGTGACCCGATTTTCCAGGTGCTGTCCGTCACCCCTTTCTTTGACTCAGAAAGGGAACTCCCTGACCCCTTGCGCTTCCCAGGTGAGGCAATGCCTCACCCTGCTTTGGCTCACGCACGGTGCATGCACCCACTGATCTGCGCCCACTGTCTGGCACTCCCTAGTGAGATGAACCCGGTACCTCAGATGGAAATGCAGAAATCACCCATCTTCTTCGTCGCTCACGCTGGGAGCTGTAGACCGGAGCTGTTCCTTTTCGGCCATCTTGGCTCCTCCCCTCAACATTCTTAGAGAAAAGAAATTTCAACCCAGGATTTCATATCCAGCCAAACTAAGCTTCATAAGTGAAGGAGAAATAAAATCCTTTACAGACAAGCAAATGCTGAGACATTGTGTCACCACCAGGCCTGCCCTAAAAGAGCTCCTGAAGGAAGCAGTAAACATGGAAAGGAACAAATGGTACCAGCCACTGCAAAAACATGCCAAATTGTAAAGACCATCAAGGCTAGGAAGAAACTGCATCAACTAATGAGCAAAATAACCAGCTAACATCATAATGACAGGATCAAATTCACACATAATATTACTAACCTTAAGTGTAAATGGGCTAAATGCTCCAATTAAAAGACACAGACTGGCAAATTGGAGAAAGAGTCAAGACCCATCAGTGTGCTGTATTCGGGAAACCCATCTCATGTGCAGAGACACACATAGGCTCAAAATAAAAGGATGGAGGAAGATCTACCAAGCAAATGGAAAACAAAAAAAGGCAGGGGTTGCAATCCTAGTCTCTGATAAAACAGACTTTAAACCAACAAAGATCAAAAGAGACAAAGAAGGCCATTACATAATGGTAAAGGGATCAATTCAAAAAGAAGAATTAACTATACTAAATATATATGCAGCCAAGACAGGAGCACCCAGATTCATAAAGCAAGTTCTTAGTGACCTACACAGAGACTTAGACCCCCACACATTAATAATGGGAGACGTTAACACCCCACTGTCAACATTAGACAGATCAACGAGACAGAAAGTGAACAAGGATACCCAGGAATTGAACTCAGCTCTGCACCAAGCGGACCTAATAGACATCTACAGAACTCTCCACCACAAATCAACAGAATATACATTCTTTTCAGCACCACACAACACCTACTCCAAAATTGACCACATAGTTGGAAGTAAAGCTCTCCTCAGCAAATGTAAAAGAACAGAAATTATAACAAACTGTCTCTCAGACCACAGTGCAATCAAACTGGAACTCAGGATTCAGAAACTCACTCAAAACTGCTCAACTACATGGATACTGAACAACCTGCTCCTGAATGACTACTGGGTAAATAATGAAATGAAGGCAGAAATAAAGATGTTCTTTGAAACCAACGAGAACAAAGACACAACATACCAGAATCTCTGGGACGCATTCAAAGCAGTGTGTAGAGGGAAATTTATAGCACTAAATGCCCACAAGAGAAAGCAGGAAAGATCTAAAATTGACACCCTAACATCACAATTAAAAGAACTAGAAAAGCAAGAGCAAACACACTGAAAAGCTAGCAGAAGGCAAGAAATAACTAAGATCAGAGCAGAACTGAAGGAAATAGAGACACAAAAAACCCTTCAAAAAATTAATGAATCCAGGAGCTGGTTTTTTGAAAGGATCGATAAAATTGATAGACTGCTAGCAAGACTAATAAAGAAGAAAAGAGAGAAGAATCAAATAGGCGCAATAAAAAATGATAAAGGGGATACCACCACCAATCCCACAGAAATACAAACTACTATCAGAGAATACTATAAACACCTCTTCCCAAATAAACTAGAAAATCTAGAAGAAATGGATAAATTCCTTGAAACATACATCCTCCCAAGACTAAACAAGGAAGAAGTTGAATCTCTGAATAGACCAATAACAGGCTCTGAAATTGAGGCAATAATCGATAGCTTACCAACCAAAAAAAGTCCAGGACCAGATGGATTCACAGCCGAATTCTACCAGAGGTACAAGGAGGAGCTGGTACCATTCCTTCTGAAACTATTCCAATCAATAGAAAAAGAGGGAATCCTCCCTAACTCATTTTATGAGGCCAGCATCATTCTGATACCGAAGCCTGGCAGAGACACAACAAAAAAAGAGAATTTTAGACCAATATCCTTGATGAACATCAATGCAAAAGTCCTCAATAAAATACTGGCAAACCAAATCCAGCAACACATCAAAAAGCTTATCCACTATGATCAAGTCGGCTTCATCCCTGGGATGCAAGGCTGGTTCCACATATGCAAATCATTAAATGTAATCCAGCATATAAACAGAACCAAAGACAAAAACCACATGATTATCTCAATAGCTGCAGAAAAGGCCTTTGACAAAATTCAACAACCTTTCATGCTAAAAACTCCCAAAAAATCAGGTATTGATGGGATGTATCTCAAAATAATAAGAGCTATCTATGACAAACCCACAGCCAATATGATACTGAATGGACAAAAACTGGAAGCATTCCCTTTGAAAACTGGCACAAGACAGGAATGCCCTCTCTCACCACTCCTATTCAACATAGTGTTGGAAGTTCTGGCCAGGGCAATCAGGCAGGAGAAGGAAATAAAGGGTATTCAATTAGGAAAAGAGGAAGTCAAATGTCCCTGTTTGCAGATGACATGATTGTATATCTAGAAAACCACATCGTCTCAGCCCAAAATCTCTTCAAGCTGTTAAGCAACTTCAGCAAAGTCTCAGGATACAAAATCAATGTACAAAAATCACAAGCATTCTTATACACCAATAACAGACAAACAGAGAGCCAAATCATGAGTGAACTCCCATTGACAATTGCTTCAAAGAGAATAAAATACCTAGGAATCCAACTTACAAGGGATGTGAAGGACCTCTTCAAGGAGAACTACAAATCACTGCTCAATGAAATCAAAGAGGATACAAAGAAATGGAAGAACATTCCATGCTCATGGGTAGGAAAAATCAATATTGTGAAAATGGCCATACTGTCCAAGGTAATTTATAGACTCAATGCCATCCCCATCAAGCTACCAATGACTTTCTTCACAGAATTGGAAAAAACTACTTTAAAGTTCATATGGGACCAAAAAAGAGCCTGCATCACCAAGTGAAGCCTAAGCCAAAAGAACAAAGCTGGAGACATCATGCTACCTGACTTCAAAGTATACTAGAAGCCTACAGTAACCAAAACAGCATAGTACTGGTACCTAAACAGAGATATAGACCAATGGAACAGATCAGAGCCCTCAGAAATAATGCCACGTATCTACAACTATCTGATCTTTGACAAACCTGAGAAAAACAAGCAATGGGGAAAGGATTCCCTATTTAATAAATGGTGCTGGGAAAACTGGCTAGCCATATTTAGAAAGCTGAAAGTGGATCCCTTCCTTACACCTTATACAAAAAATAATTCAAGATGGATTAAAGAATTAAATGTTAGACCTAAAACCATAAAAACCCTAGAAGACAACCTAGGCAATACCATTCAGGACATAGGCATGGGCAAGGACTTCATGTCTAAAACACCAAAAGCAATGGCAACAAAAGCCAAAATTGACAAATGGGATCTAATTAAAGAGCTTCTGCACAGGAAAAGAAACTATCATCAGAGTAACAGGCAACCTACGGAATGGGAGAAAATTTTTGCAATCTACTCATCTGACAAAGGGCTAATTTCCAGAATTTACAATGAACTCAAACAAATTTACAAGAAAAAAAACAGCCCCATCAAAAAGTGGGTGAAGGATATGAACAGACACTTCTCAAAAGAAGACATTTATGCAGCCAAAAACACATGAAAAAATGCTCATCACCACTGGCCATCAGAGAAATGCAAATCCAAACCACAATTAGATATCATCTCACACCAGTTAGAATGGTGATCATTAAAAAGTCAGGAAACAACAGGTGCTGGAGAGGATGTGGAGAAATAGGAACACTTTTACACTGTTGGTGGGACTCTAAACTAGTTCAACCATTGTGGAAGTCAGTGTGGTGATTCCTCAGGGATCTAGAACTAGAAATACCATTTGACCCAGCCATCCCATTACTGGGTATATACCCAAAGGATTATAAATCATGCTGCCGTAAAGACACATGCACACGTATGTTTATAGTGGCAGTATTCACAATAGCAAAGACTTGGAACCAACCTAAATGTCCAACAACGATAGAATGGATTAAGAAAATGTGGTACATATACACCATGGAATACTATGTAGCCATAAAAAATGATGAGTTCATGTCCTTTGTAGACACATGGATGAAGCTGGAAGCCATCATTCTCAGCAAACTATCGCAAGGACAAAAAACCAAACACCGCATGTTCTCACTCATAGGTGGAAATTGAACAATGAGAACACCCGGACACAGCAAGGGGAACATCACACTCTGGGGACTGTTGTGGGGTGGGGGGAGGGGGAGGGATAGCATTAGGAGATACACCTAATGCTAAATGACGAGTTAATGGGTGCAGCACACCAACATGGCACATGTATACATATGTAACAAACCTGCACATTGTGCACATGTACCCTAAAACTTAAAGTATAATAATAATAAAATTTAAAAAAAGAAAACTGTCATTATCTACTAAACCTGCATATGTACATGATCCATTGATTCCATCCTGAGGTATATATCCAATAGAAATTTTAGATATATTCACCAAAATGCATGAACACAAAAGCTCATAGCAGCATTATATGTTATTACTGCAAACTGGAAAGTACTCTAATGCCCACAAACAGTTGAATGGGTTAATTAATTATTGTTTGCCTACATAGTATAATACTTTACAGCAGTGAGACTACCAACAAACAAAAATGTGCATAAACATTCACAAGGATGATAATGAGTGAAAGAGGACAGACAAAATGAATATAATGGATAATTTTATTTGTATAAAGTATCAGAGCAATTGAAAATTTTCTATGCTGTTAAAAGTCAGTATAACAGGTGGAAGCAGTAATGGAAGCAGGAGTCTTTTAGGGCTACTAGTAGTGTTCGTTTCCTTGACCTGGGTGTTAGTTTTTGAAAATTAAGTGAGTTTATGTATACTTCAGAGTAAACTTAAGATATGGGCTCTTAGGGGCATGCATATTATACTTCAGAATTATTGAAATTTCTGTAAATTTTGCCTCTTCAATAGTTTTCACCTTTGTTACCTCCTTAACACTCCAGTGTACACGTTTATTTCAGATCCTTATTATTTTAAGCTAAACAATTGTTAATTTTCCACACTTTTGTCCCTTTCAATTACTTCTAATTGCAATTGACAGATTCTTTTTCATAAGCAGAGCCTCAATCATGCAACTCCTCATTGGTTATGAAATTAATTTAAAATTTTTAATATGGCTTTAGAGGCCTCCATACTTTACTTCCAAGAAATATTCTCACCCAATCTTGCCTTAAACTGAACAAAAGTACAGTTCACTATTAGTCTAAACATGACTTTGTCTAATTCTAGTCTTTCACTACTCTTCTTTAAAGAGTTTCTACCACTCTGTTGAAATTGTACTTCCTTCCAGTCCCAATTCAAATGTCCCAGTCTCCATCAGACTGTCCTAGGCCACTGTCTCCCACCCTGTTTCACAATATGGTCTCTCCCTTTTTAAGAGTTGCTTTACAGTTATTGCATGCCTCCTTTTTATGGATTGCATTATCTTCTGCCATATGTACAATGTACTATATATTTTATCCTATCCTCTCTTTTCTGATTCTAACCTTCAATGGGAGAAATGTTGATTAACTGTTTTTTTCACCACCTGCCTCACTGAATCAATTTTGCACATCATGAGTGATCAGTAAACATTTTAAAGCTTCAGAGAATCAGAATAACCTAAAAACTGTTTGCTGCTTTAAACTTTTAAATTAAGTTCTCCTGATACCTTGTGATTATATCTGCTACTTTATGCTTAACAACCTTTTGATTATCTCTGATCAAATGATTGAATTTAACTGTGTATTCTGCCATATTTAAAATGTGTTCCTCTCCACTTTTACACTGTTGGTGGGACTGTAAACTAGTTCAACCATTGTGGAAGACAGTGTGGCGATTCCTCAAGGATCTAGAAGTAGAAATACCATTTGACCCAGCCATCCCATTACTGGGTATATACCCAAAGGATTATAAATCATGCTGCTATGAAGACACATGCGCATGTATGTTTATTGCGGCCCTACTCACAATAGCAAAGACTTGGAACCAACCCAAATGTCCATCAATGATAGACTGGATAAAGAAAATGTGGCACATATACACCATGGAATACTATGCAGCCATAAAAAAGGATGAGTTCATGTCCTTTGTAGGTACATGGATGAAGCTGGAAACCATCATTCTCAGCAAACCGTCACAAGGACAAAAAAAACAAACACCGCATATTCTCACTCATAGGTGGGAACTGAACACTGAGAACACTTGGACACAGGAAGGGGTACATCACACTCAGGGGCCTGTCATGGGGTGGGGGGTAGGGGGAGGGATAGCATTAGGAGATATACCTAATGTAAATGATGAGCTAATGGTTGCAGCACACCAACATGGCACAGGTATACATATGTAACAAACCTGCACATTGTGTACAGGTACCCTAGAACTTAAAGCATAATAATAAAAAAAAATAGAGAGAAAGGCACGATAAGTAAAAAATTATTCCAATGAAGGTAGAAAATGTAGAACAGGAAAACAAAATCATGCTCAATTAAAAAATATAAAACAAAGGGAAGAAAAAATTTGAAACATTATCACTTTCCATAATAAATGTTTGGCAAGTTAAAAAAATAAGATAAATAAATAAATAAATAAAATAAAATGTGTTCCTCTCTACATTCTTTCAGAAAATGAAATTGCAGGGAAACTTATCATGACTCACAATGTTGAAGAAAACAATGAAACTTAAAAGTTTGTACAATGTGAGAATACAATTGTATGTTTTCCTTTTTATTTTTCAAATCATATAAAAACATTGAAGTAAAGGTAATTTTAAAATAGCATAACTAAACCTGCCATTTTTCATATTGCTATGAATTTTAGACCACTATTAGCTAGTTAGATTATGTCACTGGGTATTTTTTTTTGTCTTATCATATTAAGTTGGTATTTTTGGTAATACTGACGATATTTTTCACAAATGTTCTGTATGTGTGAAATTTGGACTATTATTTAAAATGAGGCACATTGAACTTGTTTAACCATAAGAAAATAAACAGAAAGGAAAGGTTGATGTTTTAATGTAGCTTGCCCTTTGGGGATTGAAATGAAACGGGTGCAGTGGCTCACGCCTGTATTCGCAGCACTTTGGGAGGCCGAGGTGGGCAGATCACGAGGTCGGGAGTTTGAAACCAGCCTAGCCAATATGATGAGACCCCATCTGTACTAAAAATGCAAAAATTAGCCAGGCATGGTGGTGCGTGCCTGTAGTCCCAGCTACTCAGGAGGCTGAGGCAGAAGAATCCCTTGAACCCGGGAGGCAGAGGTTGCAGTGAGCCGAGATCGTGCCACTGCACTCCAGCCTGGGCAACAGAGCATGACTCCGTTTCCAAAAAAAAAAAAAAAAAAAGAAGAGGGTGGATGGACATATATTGACAGGTTTGGATGGGATGACTGGAGAAAGAAAAGAAAGAAGGCCAAGATGATATTGATAGATAACATCCTATGCTGTTACATTACATCCTTACAAATATCCAGCAAGATAATACTATTATCAATACCACACATGACTTGACAAAGACCACACAATTTACAAGTGACAAGGCTGCGATTCAGCTAAGCAAAATTTTTTTTAGAAAGCAGCTTCCTTTCAGAAGAATAGTGGACAACAGGAGATTGCCAATAGGAATTACCTCTAAAGTCTTGTGGCTTGTTAGTGCTTACAGCCTACTGAGTCCTCTATCAAATTAGAAAACTTTAAGAAAAAGCATAAGCTAAACACACACACACACACACACACACACAAACAGAAAAACTCTGTACTTCTCTCTATTTGCACAAGAATTTTGGAGTCTATCATTTACTAAGGAACTCTGAAATAAAAATCTGAAGATATAATTTTAGTTTTCACTTTGCCAATTTCTACCTATATATTTTCATAAACTCAAGCAAGGTAATTCACTTTTATGAGTATATGTTTTCTAATTTGTAAAGTGGAGATGACATCTACCCTAAGTATTTTACCTAATTATTTTAAGGATGAACAAAATTATGAATGCTCACTGTTTTTGTTACCTACAAAAAGCAATTCATGTATATATTATTATAATTATATATCTGAGACTGTATATGCTGGTGTTTTAGGAAAACTGAAAATAGAGTGCATTTAAATTTCACAAAAGTCATGAAAATGCTAGGAATCATGCTTCTGAGTGTTAACTATTGCTATAGCAATCAAATTGCTTTCGAACATTGTCATCATTGTGAAACCTAAATGATGCCAGGACTATTTGATGCCCAAGCTTGTCCCTGCATCACATTCAAAGAACTATCAATCCAGCATCAAAAAATAATTGAAAGCAATTTCATATCTGTATTGCTTCATCTTAAAAGGTCACAGTGGTTATATTCACAGCATGCAACTAAACTTCTTGAATTTCTCTTTTTCACCCCTCCTTGCATTCCATCCCCAATGTCTCATAGGCATTTTATCAAAAGCTAAAGATTCTTTCTCTACTTCAAATATCTGAAAATTATCTCAATCCCAGTTCACAAATGATCTTTATCTTCCTCATCCTATTTTTGTCTCTTTCTTTAGTGAGTACTAAAGAAATTGTAACATTCACCTCTTGCCAGATGAATGCCAATAGCCTCTGTAGGCTCTTCATTTCTCTCTTATTTAAAACTTTCATGAAAACCTAGTAGCCATCACAGAACCTCCTAGGGAGTGCATAGCAGCAAAAGCCTATGGATGCTAACAGATTAATATCTTTCCCCTCAACACAACTATTATGTGCAAAGCACTGCCTACATAGAGAAAAATACCTAATCTAAAGAGAAAAATCAGTTGTGTGATTTGGCCTCATTCTTAAGGAAAATGTTCTAAGTAAACTCTAAAACCACCCAGGAACTAATGCCCATTAGAGCAGTCAAGTGAATGTGGTTCTGCCTTGTGTTTTTCCATTATTTATTTATTTCTTCTACTATAATTTTATTTTGCCAAAGAATTTAAGAGCCAAAAAAGAGTTGCTACATATGACTGTGGCACAGGTCAACCTGAAATAATTGGGATAGAACAAGATTGGATGCAGATTGCTTTAACCATGAATAAGGCTAAAAAGACTTGAAGTAGGAAGACTGTGGTAAGAATGAGAAGAAAGACAGTAATGTGAGAGAAGCTATAAATAAACTATAACCTATAAGTTGGAGCTCTGGAAAGATAGGAGAACAGCAAGGGAGATTTTGAAGCCACTCACTTATCAATAAGAGCAGAAAGAGAATGAATAAAAATAGGGGAAAAAAAGAAGGTGAATGAGGTAATAGTGCATAATTTTCTTTAGTTTGTTTGGAATGACATTATTAACTGCTTTCATAGTGAAGTGCATTGTATAAATGTTCATTGATACTAAAAGTGAATGTCCTCATTTCTTTAAAACCCTAATTCTTCATTAAAGTGGGGGAGGGAGGTAATGAAAAAATACTTAATGGGTATAATGTACATTATTATTGGGGTGATATACACACTAAAAGCCAAGACTTCACCACTATGTGATATACCCATGTAAAAAAAATTGCACTTGTACCTCTTAAATTTATACACATAAAAAGGCACTTTTTGTGTCTCAAATTATTTTAGAATAAATATTGAGGCATTTTTATTATGCATTATAAGGTTTTCTGAATAATAAAATTGCTGTTTAGATCTCCAAATATTTGTATTACAGATAATAATTATTAAATTTAAAAGTCTTTGATGCATTGAAGGGTTAATTTAGAACTGAGGCAAAACTGAAATCATTTGATCATGAGATTTCTTTTATTATTTGTTTGATTGATTTTTTACCTTTTGGAAGTAAGGAAAACTGGTGAGTCAGTTTTACAATGGCTATATTATTAAAAACAGCATAGTAGTACTCATGTTGGAATCGCAACCAGACTAGAGATGTCACTGTTTTGTCTGAGTTGGGAGCTGGGGTGGGGTGGAAGGAATGCAGGAGCCCAGGAGGGGAACTTATGGCAGGACCAGCCAAGCACTAGGTCCAAGGGGGAGGGCAATTTCCAGTCATGACCCAGGTGAACAACCAGCATCAGGATCTTGGGTGTGTACCTGAGTTTGAAAACGTGGGTCTTGCTCTGTTGCCCAGGCTGGAATGCAGTGGCATAATCAAAGCTTGAAGCAGCCTTGACCTCCTGGGCTCAAGCAATCCTTCTGCTTTATCCTCCTGCCTCATCATTATGGGTAGCTGGGTCTGCAGGTGTGCACCAACACACTTGGAAATTTTTTTTTTTTTTTTGGTAGAGATGGGTTCACTATGTTGCCTAGGCTGGTCTCAAACTCCTGGACTCAAGCAATCCACCCACCTTGGTCTCCCAAAGGGTTAGATTTACAGGCTTGAGCCACAACACCTGGCCCAGTATTCATTTTTACAAAATTTTAACCAACCTATGAAGAAAGAAGTCAGTCAGTTAAAGAATGAGGTCAAAAGCATGGCCAAGGTGGTAGAGCCAAGATGGCCAAATAGGAACAGCTCCAGTCTACAGCTCCCAGCGAGAGCGATGCAGAAGACAGGTGATTTCTGCATTTCCAACTGAGGTACTGGGTTCATCTCACTGGGGAGTGCCAGACAGTGGGTGCAGGACAGTGGGTGCAGTGCACTGTGCATAAGCCAAAGCAGGGTGAGGCATCGCCTCACCTGGGAAGCACAAGGGGGCAGGGAATTCCCTTTCCTAGTCAAAGAAAGGGGTGACAGACAGCACCTGGAAAATCAGGTCATTCCCACCCTAATACTGCTCTTCTCCAAAGGGCTTAACAAACGGCACACCAGGAGATTATATCCTACACCTGGCTCAGAGGGTCCTACACCCACAGAGCCTCGCTCATTGTTAGCACAGCAGTCTGAGATCAAACTGCAAGGCAGCAGTGAGGCTGGGGGAGGGGCGCCCGCCATTGCTGAGGCTTCAGCAGGTAAACAAAGTGGCTGAGAAGCTCAAACTGAGTGAAACCCACCACAGCTCAAGGAGGCCTGCCTGCCTCTGTAGGCTCCACCTCTGGGGGCAGGGCACAGACAAACAAAAAGACAGCAGTAACCTCTGCAGACTTAAATGTCCCTCTCTGACAGCTTTGAAGAGAGTAGTGGTTCTCCCAGCATGTAGCTTGAGATCTGAGAACAGGCAGACTGCCTCCTCAAGTGGGTCCCTGACCCCCGAGTAGCCTAACTGGGAGGCACACCCCAGTAGGGGCTGACTGACACCCCACATGGCCAGGTACTCCTCTGAGACAAAACTTCCAGAGGAATGATCAGGCAGCAGCATTTATGGTTCATGAATATCCGCTGTTCTGCAGCCACCGCTGCTGATACCCAGGCAAACAGGGTCTGGAATGGACCTCTAGCAAACTCCAACAGACCTGCAGCTGAGGGTCCTGTCTGTTAGAAGGAAAACTAACAAACATAAAGGACATCCACACAAAAAAAACATATGTACGTCACCATCATCAAAGAACAAAGGTAGATAAACCACAAAGATGGGAAAAAAACAGAGCAGAAAAACCGGAAACTAAAAATCAGAGCGCCTCTCCTCCTCCAAAGGAATGCAGCTCCTCACCAGCAATGGAACAAAGTGGGATGGAGAATGACTTTGATGAGTTGAGAGAAGAAGGCTTCAAACGATCAAAGTACTCTGAGCTACAGGAGGAAATTTGAACCAATGGCAAAGAAGTTAAAACTTTGAAAAAAAAATTAGATGAATGTATAACTAGAATAAGCAGTGAAGAGAAGTCCTTAAAGGACCTGATGGAGCTGAAAACCAAGGCACAAGAGCTGCGTGACGAATGCAGAAGGCTCTGTGGCTGATGTGATCAACTGGAAGAAAGGGTATCAGTGATGGAAGATGAAATGAATGAAATGAAGTGAGAAGACAGGTTTAGAGAAAAAAGAATAAAAAGAAATGAACAAAGAATCCAAGAAATATGGGACTAGAAAAGACCAAATCTACATCTGATTGGTATACTTGAAAGTGATGGGGAGAATGGAACGAAGTTGGAAAACACTCTGCAGGATATTCTCCAGGAGAACTTCCCCAACCTAGCAAGGCAGGCCAACATTCAAATTCAGGAAATACAGAGAACGCCACAAAGATACTCCTCGAGAAGAGCAACTCTAGGACACATAATTGTCAGATTCATCAAAGTTGAAATGAAGGAAAAAATGTTAAGGGCAGCCAGAGAGAAAGGTTGGGTTACCCACAAAGGGAAGCCCATCAGACTAGCAGCTGATCTCTTGGCAGAAATTCTACAAGCCAGAAGAGAGTGGGGGCCGATATTCAACATTCTTAAAGAAAAGAATTTTCAACCCAGGATTTCATATCCAGCCAAACTAAGCTTCATAAGTGAAGGAGAAATAAAATCCTTTACAGACAAGCAAATGCTGAGACATTTTGTCACCACCAGGCCTGCCTTACAAGAGCTCCTGAAGTAAGCACTAAACATGGAAAGGAACAACCGGTACCAGCCGCTGCAAAATCATGCCAAAATGTAAAGAACATTGAGACTAGGAAGAAACTGCATCAACTAACGAGCAAAATAACCAGCTAACATCAGAATGACAGGATCAAATTCACACATAACAATACTAACCTTAAATGTAAATGGACTAAATGCTCCAATTAAAAGACACAGACTGGCAAATTGGATAAAGAGTCAAGACCCATCAGTGTGCTGCATTCAGGAAACCCATCTCATGTGCAGAGACACACATAGGCTCAAAATAAAGGGATGGAGGAAGATCTACCAAGCAAATGGAAAACAAAAGAAGGCAGGGGTTGCAATCCTAGTCTCTGATAAAACAGACTTTAAACCAACAAAGATCAAAAGAGACAAAGAAGGCCATTACATAATAGTAAAGGGATCAATTCAACAAGAAGAATTAACTATACTAAATATATATGCAGCCAAGACAGGAGCACTCAGATTTATAAAGCAAGTCCTTAGTGGCCTACAAAGAGACTTAGACTCCCACACAATAATAATAGCAGACGTTAACACCCCACTGTCAACATTAGACAGATCAATGAGACAGAAAGTGAACAAGGATACCCAGGAATTGAACTCAGCTCTGCACCAAGTGGACCTAATAGACTTCTACAGAACTCTCCACCACAAATCAACAGAATATACATTCTTTTCAGCACCACACCACACGTACTCCAAAATTGACCATATATTTGGAAGTAAAGCACTCCTCAGCAAATGTAAAAGAACAGAAATTATAACAAACTATCTCTCAGACCACAGTGCAATCACACTGGAACTCAGGATTCAGAAACTCACTCAAAACTGCTCAACTACATGGATACTGAACAACCTGCTCCTGAATGACTACTGGGTAAATAATGAAATGAAGGCAGAAATAAACATGTTCTTTGAAACCAATGAGAACAAAGACACAACATACCAGAATCTCTGAGACACATTCAAAGCAGTGTGTAGAGGGAAATTTATAGCACTAAATGCCCACAAGAGAAAGCAGGAAAGATCTAAAATTGACACCCTAACATCACAATTAAAAGAACTAGAAAAGCAAGAGCAAACACATTGAAAAGCTAGCAGAGGCAAGAAATAACTAACATCAGAGCATAATTGAAGGAAATAGAGAAAAAAAGGTCTTGGTTTTTTGAAAAGATCAACAAAATTGATAGACCGCTAGCAAGACTAATAAAGAAGAAAAGAGAGAAGAATCAAATAGACACAATAAAAAATGACAAAGGGGATATCACCACCGATCCCACAGAAATACAAACTACCATCAGAGAATACTATAAACACCTCTATGCAAATAAACTAGAAAAATGGATAAATTCCTCGACACTTACACCCTCCCAAGACTAAACAAGGAAGAAGTTGAATCTCTGAATAGACCAATAACAGGCTCTGAAATTGAGGCAATAATTAATAGCTTACCAACCAAAAAAAGTCCAGGACCAGAAGGATTCACAGCCAAATTCTACCAGAGGTACAAGGAGGAGCTGGTACCATTCCTTCTGAAACTATTCCAATCAGTAGAAAAAGAGGGAATCTTTTCTAACTCATTTTATGAGGCCACCATCATCCTGATACCAAAGCCTGGCAGAGACCCAAAAAAGAGAATTTTAGACCAATATCCTTGATGAACATCACTGCAAAAATCCTCAATAAAATACTGGCAAACAGAATCCAGCAGCACATCAAAAAGCTTATCCACCATGATCAAGTGGGCTTCATCCCTGGGATGCAAGGCTGGTTCAACATATGAAAATCAATAATCATAGTCCAGTATATAAACAGAACCAAAGACAAAAACCACTTGACTATCTCAATACATGCAGAAAAGGCTTTTGACAAAATTCAACAACCCCTCATGCTAAAAACTCTCAATAAATTAGATATTGATGGGACGTATCTCAAAATAATAAAAGCTATCTATGACAGACCCACAGCCAATATCATACTGAATGGACAAAACCTGAAGCATTCCCTTTGAAAACTGGCACAAGACAGGGATGCCCTCTCTCACCACTCCTATTCAACATAGTGTTGGAAGTTCTGGCCAGGGCAATCAGGCAGGAGAAGGAAATAAAGGGCATTAAATTAGGAAAAGAGGAAGTCAAATTGTCCCTGTTTGCAGATGACATGATTGTATATCTAGAAAACCCCATCGTCTCAGCCCAAAATCTTCTCAAGCTGATAAGCAACTTCAGCAAAGTCTCAGGATACAAAATCAATGTACAAAAATCACAAGCATTCTTATACACCAATAACAGACAAACAGAGAGCCAAATCATAAGTGAACTCCCATTCACAATTGCTTCAAAGAGAATAAAATACCTAGGAATCCAACTTACAAGGGATGTGAAGGACCTCTTCAAGGAGAACTACAAACCGCTGCTCAATGAAATCAAGGAGGATACAAACAAATGGAAGAACATTCCATGCTCATGGGTAGGAAGAATCAATATCGTGAAAGTGGCCATACTGTCCAAGGTAATTTATAGATTCAATGCCATCCCCATCAAGCTACCAATGACTTTCTTCACAGAATTGGAAAAAGCTACTTTAAAGTTCATATGGAACCAAAAAAGAGCCCGCATCGCCATGTCAATCCTAAACCAAAAGAACAAAGCTGGAGGCATCATGCTACCTGATTTCAAACTATACTACAAGGCTACAGTAACCAAAACAGCATGGTACTGGTACCCAAACAGAGATATAGCCTAATAGGACAGAACAGAGCCCTCAGAAATAATGCTGTATATCTACAACTATCTGATCTTTGACAAACCTGAGAAAAACAAGCAATGGGGAAAGGATTCTGTATTTAATAAATGGAGCTGGGAAAACTGGCTAGCCATATGTAGAAAGCTGAAACTGGATCTCTTCCTTACACCTTATACAAAAATTACTTCAAGATGGATTAAAGACTTACCTGTTAGACCTAAAACCATAAAAAGCCTAGAAGAAAACCTAGGCATTACCATTCAGGACATAGGCATGGGCAAGGACTTCATGTCTAAAACACCAAAAGCAATGGCAACAAAAGCCAAAATTGACAAATGGGATCTAATGAAACTAAAGAGCTTCTGCACAGCAAAAGAAACCACCATCAGAGTGAGCAGGCAACCTACAAAATGGGAGAAAATTTTTGCAACCTACTCATCTGTCAAAGGGCTAATATCCAGACTCTACAATGAACTCAAACAAATTTACAAGAAAAAAAAACAGCCCCATCAAAAAGTGGGTGAAGGATATGAACAGACACTTCTCAAAAGAAGACATTTATGCAGCCAAAAAACACATGAAAAAATGCTCATCATCACTGGCCATCAGAGAAATGCAAATCAAAACCACAATGAGATATCATCTCACACCAGTTAGAATGGCGATCATTAAAAAGGAAACAACAAGTGGTGGAGAGGATGTGGAGAAATAGGAACACTTTTACACTGTTGGTGGGATTGTAAGCTAGTTCAACCTTTGTGGAAGTTGGTGTGGCGATTCCTCAGGGATCTAGAACTAGAAATACCATTTGACCCAGCCATCCCATTACTGGGTATATACCCAGGATTATAAATCATGCTGCTATAAAGACACATGCACATGTATGTTTATTGTGGCACTATTCACAGTAGCAAAGACTTGGAACCAACCCAAATGTCCAACAATGATAGACTGGATTAAGAAAATGTGGTACATATACACCATGGAATACTATGCAGCCATAAAAAATAATGAGTTCACGTCCTTTGTAGGGACGTGGATGAAGCTGGAAACCATCATTCTCAGCAAACTCTAGCAAGGACAAAAATCCAAACACCACATGTTCTCACTCATAGGTGGGAATTGAACAATGAGAACACATGGACACAGGAAGGGGAACATCACACACTGGGGACTGTTGTGGGGTGGGGGGAGGGAGGAGGGATAGCATTAGGAGATATACCTAATGCTAAATGATGAGTTAATGGGTGCAGCACACCAACATGGTACATGTATACATATGTAACAAACCTGCACGTTGTGCACATGTACACTAAAACTTACAGTATAATAAAAAAAAAGAAAGTAGGATCTGATTAATTTAAACCAATCTTGGTAATTATAGTTATTCCACTGGAGTGATTCAGGAAAGTGTGTGTAATCTAATTTTTAACCAATGAGATTTAAGCAGAGTCCTGCTTGTTCTTTCTTGTTCTAAAGAGCCTTAGTCTAAAATGCTTCTTTGCTGTCTTCAGAACAAGAGAAACCAGTTCTATTTTCCTCCTGTAAATAAACAAGGAAGCCTATGAATCTAATTAGTACAGGCAGCCATTTTATAAACATTCATTCAACAATATTCAACTAATATTGAATAGAGCTCTTATTATTTCTTAATGACTCTTCTAAGTACTTGGGATATACTAATGAGTAAACCAAGAAGTCTTGCCTTTGTGGAGATTGACTTTAGGAGTAAGAGATTTAGGAGGAGATCGACATAGGAGTAAGAAAATAATCAGTCAACATAATAAATTGATAAACTAAGTAATAAATCTGAAGGTGACAAGTACGGTGTAAAATAAAAGGAGAGTGGGGATTCAGAGTGCCCAGGAATAGGTTGTTTAATTAAATTAAGTGGTCAGAATAAGACTGTGAGATTTGTGCAAAGGCTTGAAGAACATGATGGAATTGGCCAAATGAATATGCGATGTGAGGGAAGAGTGTGTTAGGCTCAGGAGACAGAGCAAAAGCCCCAAGCAACAGTGTGGCATGAAGATCAATGAACCAGGAACAGAGAGTAGGGGAGAGGGAGCAGAGAGAGTCAAGGGGATGGTAAGCATCACTAAGATGTTGCATCCATCCTACGTACTGTGGCTTTAATTTTAATTGCCAGATCTTGATTTAGGATTCAGTTGGGGGCTGCAGCCAGCACAGCTGGGAAGCCAATAACAGTAACAAAAAATAACAACAAAAAAGAACCTGGGTCTTTGATGGAAGACTGAGCTGCTAGAGCAACCAAGTTTGAAGCCTGCCTTCCTTCTGGATTTCCTGTTTAATGAAATAATGAATTTCCTCATTGTTTGAGCGAGAGTTAAATTTCTATTGCTTGAAATTGAACCTAGCCTAACTAAAAAATAGTTTAGCTTGAATTTGAGAAATAAAAATGATTTTTATTTGATCATTTTAATTTGTTTCACAAAGAGCAACAAGAAATATCTTAAATCACTCGAAGAAAAACTATGTTAAGCATAAGAAAGAACTATTTGATTAGTGAAGCTGGTACAAGAGTGTGTTGAATTTCATCCATGAAGAATAATATTATTTTATTTTTCAATAAACTATATGTTCACTTGCTCAGAGAAAGAATGTAGAGTCATAGGATAAGTTGTGGGGCCTTTGATAAATATGTTAACTTAAAATCTTAGTTACTGAGATTAGTAGAGGGGATGACACCAACTTAAAAATATACGATCTTCTAATATTGAAAATGAAAATGATGTAGATTTCTTCTAGGCAATTCTTAAAATAGGATAGATTTCTCTTTGTAATGATAACTCTTTTATAAGTTATTTCAGCAAATATTTGCTGAGTACTAAAAAGCACAGGCTTACTTGAGGGATTAAATGATAGAGTGAAAGTCAATATATGCTGCTTGTCAATTTTATAGTTATTATTTCATTAATCCTTCATGAATATATTCAAACCACATATATTCATCTCCTATTATGTAGCTGAGTTGTTTGATTGTAGATGACAGGAAGAAGGCAGGAAGGTGAAATCAAGGAAAAACTCACCTATCCACAGATTTGGCATTAGTATGTTAATGTGGTTAGATGAGATAATGCATATAAAGCATTCAACATCAGAGTTTAATGAAAAGTTGTTATTAGAAGTGCTGATCATTCTTAATGTGCCCTTGTGGTATGTAGTAAGTAATGTCATCATTACTCTAGAATTCTGGCTTTTGTACCAGAGAATTTAGGACTTTCCAGGAATTAGAAGATATACTCCACTATTTCAGAGGATTTCTAGTGGGATGATTAACTCCTAAAACCTGGTGTAGCTGAAAAAAAAGTTTGTGATTAGACCATATTGGACATTAGGACAAATTTAGGCCTAGCACCATAACTTTGAGACCTTAGGCAAGTATCTTAATCATTCTGAAACTGAATTTCCTTTATTTTTTTTTTTAAAGACATAAATAAGTATTGCAAGGAAAAACAGTATGGAAATGTTTCAAATAATAAAAAATAGAACTACCATTTGACCTGGCAATTCCATCACTCGGTATCTATCCAAAGAAATCATTTTCTCAAAAAGACATGTGCACTTGTATGTTTATTGCCACACTATTCACAATAGCGAAGTCATAGAATCAACCTAAGTGTCCATTAATAGTTGATTAAATAAAGAAAATGTAACATGTTTATATATATGGAATACTATGCAGCCATATTATAGATATATGGAATACTATATATAGTGTATATGTATAAAATACTATATATATAGCATATATATATAAAATACTATATATATTATATGGCTGTACATTCTGTATATATAAAATGGCTAATATGGAAACTATTATTTATATATATAAATTATATATGTGGGATACTATGCAGCCATAAAAAATGAAATTATGTTTTTGCAGCAAGCTGAGTGGAGCTGAAAGCCATTATCCTAAGTGAAACAACTCAGAAAGTCAAATACCACATATTCTCAAATATAAGTGGAAGCGAAACAGTGAGTATACCTGGAAACAAGGATGGAAATAATAGACTCCAAAAGTGAGAGAAATGGAGGAGAGTAAGGGTGAAAAAACTACCTTATCACAAACTATGTTCACTATTTGGGTGATAGGTTAGCTAGAAGCCCAAGCCTCACCATTATGCAACATTCCCATGTAACAGACTTGCACATGTACCCCAGGAACCTAAAATTTAAAAATACCTTTCCCAGCCTCTGGTAACCATCTTTCTACTCTTTATGTCCATGAGTTCAATTGTTTTGATTTATATAGATCCCACATATAACTGAGAACTGATCCCACAAATAACTGATGTGATGTTTGTCTTTCTGTGTTTGGCTTATTTCACTTAGTGATCTCCAGTTCCATCCATGCTGTTGCAAATGATGATCTCATTTTTTTAAATGGTTGAATAGTACTACATTGTAAGGAAATACACAGGAAAAAGTATTTCATAGGATCCTTATAAGTGAGATGGTATTATTAAAGGTACCCTGTAAGCTGGAAATGAGCATTATATAGATGAGGTGCTATTTAGCCTGGCATATATTATCTTTTACCTTGTATAATTAGTTTTTTAAGAATTCTCAACTAATCTCTAGTTCAAACTGTGATGCTGGCTGCTTGCATGGTGAAGATGGAGAGTACTCTCTTTTGAAGGCATACCTCCTTTAGTGGATGGAGCCAGGATGAGACCAGGAGTGACAGAGTGACATTTTCTGATGTGAGCTGGCCCTATATTGCTGCTAGAGGATGGCTCTGGTCTTCTCTAGTTCTTTCTGGCTCTATGTGGTGCTGGTGACCTTTGCAGTTATGCATATGGTTGTTTAGGACAGTGTTCAAATTGACCTGGTGCACTTGATGAAAGAAGATCTTCTTAGAGAATTATGTTAGCCTTTAATCTTGACCGCAGCACCAAATCCTTACAGGGAATGGTATCTCCTCACATGATCTGTCATCGATGTTACAGCTCTATGGATTCATTTCTCCTTCTAATCCCCTTTCTCCTATATGTGAAGCCATATGAATTAGCTTTGTAACCTCTCCAAGGGCTATGGATAACTGGGATAGAGGTACCCTATTCTTCCCCAACCACCACTAGCTCCCCGCGGGGCAATTCTATACTACACCTCTATGTTATTCTGGTTCTGGGGCTTTTCCAACAAGCTGCTTACTTCAGGAATCTCCAGATGAGAAGTAAACATCAGTTTTTGTGTTTAGAAAAAAGCTCCATGCTTTCACAAATACTCTAAACTCTTCCACACCCTCCCTACATGGAAGGCAGCAAGTACTGAGGTTGCTGAATTGCAAAGGCCTCCAACGTCTCCTTCCCATGTACACCTCCAATGTCTTCAATTAATTCTTGTGAAGTCCCGTCTCTCTTCACATGGCTTGGAGATAAATTGTGCTCAAGACCATAGGGTTGGTTCTGTTATTTTTCAATATGTTTAAGGGAAAATATCTGGAGTTTTGGGACAATAGTTAAATCTGGTGTAACCACCATTTATGAATAATAATAATAAGAAGTTTACTGAGAATGATGGTGCTAGATGATGAGTTAGTGGGTGCAGCACACCAGCATGGCACATGTATACGTATGTAACTAACCTGCACAATGTGCACATGTACCCTGAAACTTAAAATATAATAATAAAAAAAAGAAGAAGTTGCTCTGTTACTTAGTAGTTACCATGCAGAACTTTTAAAAAAAGATATTCATATAATGTCTATCATAGAGCAAGGACTAATAAGGTTTTGCTAATTGAGGAAAGTACTGTATCATATAGCATTCTCCAGAGAGACAGACAGACAGAGAGAGAGATTTTAAATAAAGAACTGGCTTATATCTCACATGACTGTGGGGTCTGGCAAGTCTAAAACATGTAGGCAGGTTGACAGAAAGTCTAGAAATTCAGGTGAGTGTTGATATTATGGTCTTGAGTCTGATATTCAAAGATATCTGACCAGCAGGCTAGAAATTCTGTCAGGATTTCTGTATTATAGTCTTGAGGGAGAAATTTTTCTTCTCCAGGGAACCTCAGTTTTTGTTCTTAAAGCCTTCAGCTGAATGGATAAAGCCCTTTACATTATGGAGGGTAACATGCTTTACTTAAAATCAACTGATTGTAAATAGTAATCACATCTACAAAATGCCTTCACAGCAATATCTAGACTAGTATCTGGCCAAACAACTGAGCACCATAGCCTAACCAAGTTGATACAGACAATTAACAACTGCATGTACTGTATAATTCATAATATGCATCATAGATATTATTTAATTTTACACTTAAGACACCTAGTTTTGCTCCATCTAGTTTTCATAGTAACTATAAGAAGCAGAACTTCTTCCTTTCCTTCACTATTGTACATATGAGGAACTTGATAAGAGAGTAAGTGCCTGAAATCACACAAGCAGATAATGACAAAGTAGGACTTGAACTCAGGTCTTCTGACTTCAGAGCCCATATTTTCTCCCTTGTCATCAGTGTCTGTCAATAAATATTTCATGATTGGTTTATTTGTTGATGATCAGTTTGTACAAGAGCACAATAAAAACATAAAATTAAAAAGAAATAAAATGGTTAAATTAGTAGAAAATCTATGACTACTGAGAGGAAAGGGAGAAAAATAAATTCCATTGGCTAGCAGAGTACTTGGCTTTAGCTTAAATTCCTGAAGATAAAATTTGGAGTTTAACAGTCTTATATAAAATTTTGAAAATTGAAAGATGTTTTTCTGGGCCAGGGGCATTGGCTCACGCCTGTCATCCCAGCACCTTGGGAGGCTGAGGCAAATGGATCGCTTTAGGTCAAAAGTTTGAGACCAGCCCGGCTAACATGGTGAAGCCCAGTCTCTACTAAAAATACAAAAATTAGCCAGGCATGGTGGTGGGCACCTGTAATCCCAGCTACCCAGGAGGCTGAGGCACGAGAATTGCTTGAACCTGTGAGGTGGAGGTTGCAGTGAGCTGAGATTGCTCCACTGCACTCCAGCCTGGCAGCCTGGTCGAGATTCCATCTCAAAAGAAAAAACAGTATTTATCAGTAAAAAGGAGAATGCTCTCTCAAAAGATGTTTCCTCTGGCTCAATCGAATAGAAGTTACTAAAATATTAATTTCTCATTACATAGGAAATCTAAACTTCAACAACTAAGTTTGCTTTCCCTGAGGAAAAATCTTATTGAAATTTATTTTCTCTTTCCCCCCACCAAATCCTTATTATTAGAAGGAGTCAAATATAAAAAATTTGCCTCTTAAAAAAATTTTTAGATTAATGCTTGCCCCACCATTACCGCTTTTGTTTTTTTGCTGTTGGTATCCTTAAGAGTTTCAGGTCGTGCTGTCCCCTGTGCTAGGAGCTTGTCAGGAGCAAGCAGAGCTGCTGACATGGGCCTGTTAATTAGAGTGGTAACAAGGCAGGTGTGCCAACAAGACATCAGCTGGCGAAGATGGATAATCATGCCCTCACTGTTACCTCACAAGAACAAAAAAGCTTGTACATGAGAGCATCAATCATTGTGATTGTCTCATGTTCCAAAAACTGGAAACAAATGACCTGTTAGGCAGACTTCCAGATTCTGGCCTCCTCAGCCGTCTCTAAATCATTGCTCATTTTAAGAGGAGGGTGAAGAAAACGTCCCTGGTTGCTCATTTTAAAAAGGAAAATACCAGTGCTTTATGTTTCAGATGATTGTTTCAGTACTTTCACAAATGAATCTCTTGACATTGTTGGTAGAAAAATGAGAACAAGATGAACACAAAAAATGACCAATGCTTAAGGATTAATAAGGACTAACACATCCCAGTGTTTCGAATGGTGTAATGCGATAACTTGATGCTCTACACTAAGTCCTCAACATACAGTTAGTTCCTTTTCAAATCTTTCAAGAAGTTTCTTAACAATAACGTAGGTGATTTTGTGTAGTAGATGAGTTTTGCTCACTTTGACTCACAAAGAAATTGGTTTCTTTGATTCAGAAAAATGTTAGAGACATCAAATGCTTAAGATACCAAGGATTTCTGGCTAAATAAATGAAATGCTAACATATTTCTCAAGATCTTTGTTAAACTAGAATCTTCCTTTTCTAGGGAACACTTTTACACTGCTGGTGGGAATGTAAACCAGTACAACCAGTATGGAGATTCCTTAAAGAACTAAAACTAGAACTACTGTCTGATCCAGCAATCTTGCTACTATCTACCCAGAAAAAGAGAAGTCTTTATATGAAAAAGATGCTTGCACACGCATGTTTATAGCAGCACAATTTACAATTGCAAAATTATGGAATCAGTGTAAATGCCCATTAACCAATGAGTGGATAAAGAAAATGTGGGGTATATATATATATACTTGTGTATATATATATACATGTGTGTATATATATGTGTGTGTGTATATATACACACGTATATATATATATTTAACTGATTCTTGTGCCTTAGCCTCCTGGGTAGCTGGGATTACAAGTCCCCACCACCATGCCCGGCTAATTTTTGTATTTTTAGTAGAAACTGGGCTTCACCATGTTGGCTGGGCTGGTCTCTCTCTCTCTCTCTCTCTCTCTCTCTCTATATATATATATATATATATATATATATATATAGAGAGAGAGAGAGAGAGAGAGAGAGAGAGAGAGAGAGAGATAGATAGATAGATAGATAAATAGATAATATATATTTTATCAGTAGGCAAACTGCCTACTGATAACAGCTTTCATTGTGTGTTTTGGTTTGAGTATTTTCACTAATCCTGTCTGCCCCAGCACCAATGTTATAAAACTCAATGTTATAAAACTCGTCTACTTAGTTTTTAATTTTAGATATTATATTTTCCTTGCTAGAATATCTATTTGATTTTTTTCATAGATTCAAGTTCTCTAGTGAGATATTCTATTGTTTTATCCTCTTTTTCTTTATTTCTTTGAAGTTTACACATATATTTTACTTTAATATCAACTTTTATTGAAGTATAATATACATATGAAAACTCATACATGCAACTCAATGCATTTTTAAAAATTAATTAGCACCCAAATAAAGAAGCAGAACATTATCAGAACCTCAGAAATTCCATTTTACCTGTTTCAAGTCATTGTCTCCCAAGACTGACCCCTAATACCATAGTTTTTTTGGCCAATATTTTATAGTTTTGACTTGAATGAGGCAATATTATATGGTTCATCCTAATAACGACCAAACCTATATATTGGCTCTGGATATGCTTTAGAAGGGCTTAACTTGCTCATGAAAATCTTCTAATTATGTTTCAGATGAAAAAAGATATGTAAAAAGTCTTCCTAAAGTGGGATTCATACAGTCAGATTATTTCTTTTTGAAAGACAGGTTTATTATTGAAAATGAGGAAGTCATTCTTTTCTTGGAAGGGTGTAAGATCTAATCACGTCTTAGTTGACTAATGAAGTTCCTCTTCTTTGGATGTTGTGGGAGAGGACATCATTCTCTTCTCGGAAGGGTGTAAGATCTAATCAAGTATTGGTTGACGGATGAAGTTCCTCTCCTTTGAATGTTGTGGAAACTTCCCAGTGCAGGATGACCTCCATTTTTTTCCTTAAAATCTTATATAAGTCATAATCCCAGTCCGAGAAGTCTTCTCCTTTGATCTTATTAAGAAAAATAGATTGAGACACCCTAGACCTCAAAATAAGCCTTCTGGTTCCACTTGGGCAAAATATGATTGCAGCCAAGCGCAAGAGGGATTTCAATAGCTTAGAGACTCATGGTCCACTGGACCTTGGAATCTTGTTGGAGGCTTTGAAATATTTATAATTAGTCACCATATTTAGAACTGAGGAATCTCTATATTTCTGTAACATGTGGTAGGTTATTAATCATTGTATAGATTTGAAATTATTGATTTTAGACTGTTAATTTCATTTTAAAGAGATCAACAGGGAATTAATATCCTTCTAGTAATTTTGGTTGAACTGTCACTGGAGGTGAACTTGTTATCCTGAGGGGAAATTTGTCCTTGGGTTCTTCTGAATTGCCTGGTTCATTTGTTTCTTTAGCAACGTTGTCAGCTTTTCCTTAAGGGCTGGTTTATGTGTCAAGGACTTCACTAGGAATAGAACAGGGAAATCTTGCACAGGGCCCTGGAAGAGCCAGTGGGGAGGAAATGTATGCAATTCCCAGAGCTTAATGAATAGACTGTCTCTATGTACATCTCCTTTGTTCATGAGTTTCCTGTTGCCATTTTAACTTTAAAAGTTAAAGCGACAATGTTGTAATAATTTTCAAAAGTGAGTTACAAGAGCATAGTAATATAGGAATAGAAAGTGAGTTCAGAGTCTGGTGGCAAAGACAATGACATAGAGATAACTGATGAACGGCACGATTAGCAGGTGCCCTGCACAGCTGTACTCTCAGCACTGGAGTTCTCAGCAGGGGAGTCCCAAAGTGTTGGAAATTGAGTCTCCTGATAAAATGACCACAGCAAGAAAATCATAGACAAAGAACCCTTTGGGAAGTGCCTCTGGACCCCACTTGAACTGTTCACGCTTGATGGAGATATTTCAATCAAGCTTAAGCAGATACAGCTGGGCTCTCTAGTCTCTCAGCGACACAACCATTATGCACCACCACCTCAAAAAAAAAATTGCCAGTGACTTCTTTGAGTAGCCAATGCTCTATCTGTATAGTAACTCATTCATGTTAGAGTAGCTAGCTGGGGGTTTATTATTTTGTAAATCAACGTATGTCATGATTACAGTTTTAAAAAATGCATCTCCTAGATGATAAAATAATCACTTTACTTTTAGAAATGTTATTTTTAGTTTTATATTCTAACATATACAGACAACTGTGCCCTTTTCTAGGAATAACATCAAGTGACCACAACCTTAGGAAATAAATACCTTTTACTTGGTAAATAATTCAACTTCTTGGCTTCATTTTTATCCAGGACAATCCTCAAACCTTACTGCTGCAGAGCAAATTTATTTCTCCAGTAAAAAAAGAGAACTTTTGATCATCATAGTAAACACTATCCCTTATACATACAGCCAGAAAAATCTGAGGCAGGAAAAAACATTATTTGAAGATACTAAGTATCCATTTACTATTTTATTTAGAGCAAGAGAGAAGTTTTGTTTGTTTGATTTCTCAGTGAGGACTAGTGACTGCTAAGGAGAAAAACTAACCAATTGTGAAAGTGGGCTGAACATCTGCAGCAAATCTATTCCTATCTCAGATCAATTTATTAAAATGTAGCTCTTTTCTACTTTATTACATATACCTGTGTGCTTTTTTCTTGGACTATTGCCTAAATTAAATACACAAATCTTAGAATATTTCCTATTTTACCTATTCAAAACCATTTCTCTATCAGTTATCATTGCAGTTCATATTAGTGTTGTAGGGCCACTGCAACAATGTACCACAAATTGGATGGCTTACAACAAAAGAAATTAATTATCTCACAATTTTGGAAGCAGAGGTCTGAAATCAAAGGTGTGGGTGGCCACACTTTCTGCTCATGATTTAGAGGAGGATCTTCCTTGCCTAGCCTCGCCTCTGGCAGCTCTAGGCACTTTTTGGCTTATGACTGGGTAAGTCTTATCTTTTTCTCCATTTTCACATGGCCTTCACCTCTGTGTCTGTGTCTTCTCCTCTTCAGTCTGTTACAAGAGCACGTGTCAGGATTTAGGGCCTACTCAAATAATCCAGGATGATCTCATCTGAAGATCCTTAATTAAGTTACATTTGCAAAGAACACTTTTTCCAAATAAAATAACATTCACAGGGCCTGGGTATTACCGTGTAGACATATGTTTCTTGGGACCACCATACAACCCACTTTGTGGTACAATGACTGGGGATATTTAGTGTTACCTGAGAGCAGTATAGAGAAGAGGAAAGGGGGCTAAGGACACTTAAGGAGAGTATAACAGAACTAATTAGGCAGCACAGTTCCCATGAAGGAAGGATTATCCAGGTGACAAGTGGCATTTATTAGCAGTCTAGGATATGTGTAGCTATATATTAGGTGCTGTACATTTAGGAGGTCAGCATAGTTATCACCCTCAGAAAGCTGACAGAGGCAGACTAAAGGGTGGAATCTCAGAATGCCATTATTTACTCAAAGTATGACCTTCTCTGAAGTCTGGGCAACAGAAGGACAATGTGGACGAGCAATGAATGCCCATCGTATTCAAATTAAACTAAAGGATTCCGCCTCCTTTCCCTACCAAAGGCAGTACCCCCTTAGACATGAGGCCCAACAAAGACTCCAAAAGATTAAGGACCTAAAAGCCCAAGGCCTAGTAAAATCATGCAGTAGCCCCTGCAATACCCCAATTTTAGGAGTACAGAAACCCAATGGACAGTGGAGGTTAGTGCAAGATCGGATTATCAGTAAGGCCGTTTTCCCTCTATACCCAGCTGTACCTAAACCTTATACTCTGCTTTCTCAAATACCAGAGGAAGCAGAGTGGTTTACAGTCCTGAACCTTAAGGATGCCTTTTTCTGCATCTCTGTACATCCTGACTCTCAATTCTTTTTTGCCTTTGAAGATCCTTTGAACCCAATGTCTCAACTCACCTGGACTGTTTTACCGCAAGGGTTCAGGGATAGCCCCCATCTATTTGGCCAGGTATTAGCCCAAGACTTGAGCCAGTTCTCATACCTGGACACTCTTGTCCTTCAGTATGTGGATGATTTAATTTTAGCCACCCATTCAGAAACCTTGTGCCATCAAGCCACCCAAGCACTCTTAAATTTCCTAGCCACCTGTGGCTACAAGGTTTCCAAACCACAGGCTCAGCTCTGCTCACAGCAGGTTAAATACTTAGAGCTAAAATTATCCAAAGGCACCAGGGCCCTCAGTGAGGAATGTATCCAGCCTATACTGGCTTATCCTTATCCCAAAACCCTAAAGCAACTAACAGCATTCCTTGGCTTAACAGGTTTCTGCCGAATATGGATTCCCAGATACGGCGAAATAGCCAGACCATTATATACGCTAATTAAGGAAACTCAGAAAGCCAATACCCATTTAGTAAGATGGACACCTGAAGCAGAAGCAGCTTCCCAGGCCCTAAAGAAGGCCCTAACCCAAGCCCCAGTGTTAAGCTTGCCAATGGGGCAAGACTTTTCTTTATATGTCACACAAAAACAGGAATAGCTCTAGGAGTCCTTACACAGGTCCAAGGGATGAGCTTGCAACCCATGGCATACCTGAGTAAAGTAATTGATGTAGTGGCAAAGACTTGGCCTCATTGTTTATGGGTAGTGGTGTCAGTAGCAGTCTTAGTATCTGAAGCAGTTAAAATAATACAGGGAAGAGATCTTACTGTGTGGACATCTCATGATGTGGATGGCATACTCACTGCTAAAGGAGACTTGTGGCTGCCAGACAACTGTTTACTTAAATATCAGCCTCTATTACTTGAAGGGCCAGTGCTGTGACTGCGCACTTGTGCAACACTTAACCCAGCCACATTTCTTCCAGACAATGAAGAAAAAATAGAACATAACTGTCAACAAGTAATTGCTCAAACCTACGCCATTCGAGTTTCCCTTGACTGATCCCGACCTCAACTTGTATACTGATGGAAGTTCCTTTGTAGAAAAAGGACTTAGTGGGGTATGCAGTGGTCAGTGATAATGGAATACTTGAAAGTAATCCCCTCCCTCCAAGAACTAGTGCTCAGCTGGCAATATTAATAGCCCTCACTCAGACACTAGAATTAGGAGAAGGAAAAAGGGTAAATATATACACAGACTCTAAGTATGCTTACCTAGTCCTCCATGCCTATGCAGCAATATGGAGAGAAAAGGAGTTCCTAACTTCCGAGGGAACAGCTATCAAACATCAGAAAGCCATTAGGAGATTATTATTGGCTGTACAGAAACCTAAAGAGGTGGCAGTCTTACACTGCCGGGGTCATCAGAAAGCAAAGGAAAGGGAAATAGAAGGGAACCACCAAGCGAATATTGAAGCCAAAAGAGCCACAGGGCAGGACCCTCCATTAGAAATTCTTATAGAAGTACCCCTAGTATGGGATAATCCCCTCCGGGAAACCAAGCCCCAATACTCAGCAGGAGAAATAGAATGGGGAACCTCACAAGGACATAGTTTTCTCCCCTCAGGATGGCTAGCCACCGAATAAGGAAAAATGCTTTTGCCTGCAGCTAACCAATGGAAATTACTTAAAACCCTTCACCAAACCTTTCACTTAGGCATTGATAGCACCCATCAGATGTCCAAATCATTATTTACTGGACCAGGCCTTTTCAAAACTATCAAGCAGATAGTCAGGGCCTGTGAAGTGTGCCAAAGAAATAATCCCCTGCACTTCAGGCCATACATTTCAATCCCTGTATCTTTAACCTCCTTGTTAAGTTTGTCTCTTCCAGAATTGAAGCCGTAAAACTACAAATTGTTCTTCAAATGGAGCCCCAGATGCAGTCCATGACTAAGATATACCGTGGACCCCTGGACCAGCCTGCTAGCCCATGTTCCAATGTTAATGACATCGAAGGCACACCTCCCAAGGAAATCTCAACTGCATCACCCCTACTATGCCCCAATTCAGCCGGAAGCAGTTAGAGCGATCGTCAGCCAACCTCCCCAACAGCACTTGGGTTTTCCTGTTGAGAGGGGGAACTGAGAGAACTAGCTGGATTTCCTACACTGACTAAGAGTCCCTAAGCCTTGCTGGGAAGGTGACCACATCCACCTTTAAACATGGGGCTTGCAACTTAGCTCACACCCGACCAATCAGAGAACTCACTAAAATGCTAATTAGGCAAAACAGGAGGTAAAGAAATAGCTAATCATCTATTGCCTGAGAGCACAGCGGGAGGGACAAGGATCGGGATATAAACCCAGGCATTCGAGCAGGCAACGGCAACCCCCTTTGGGTCTCCTCCCTTTGTATGGAAGCTCTGTTTTCACTCTATTTCACTCTATTAAATTTTGCAACTGCAAAAACAAACAAACAAACAAACAAAAAAACAAAGTATGACCTTCTCTGAAGTTTATTCTTTTGTGTCTTAGTTTTCCTCTTTGGCAATTATGAATGTCAATTATTTTCTTCTCAGAGAACTGTAAACATTAATTAAACTAGTGGGTAACCATGTGAACTCAAATTTATCCCATCTTCATATAAAGGTCTCCTTTGCAGAAATACACTGAGGGTCTGAGAGTCCTTTCAGTCATTTTGTATAAATAATTGCAGCCAAAATGATTAATCCCTGACTTTTCAGTCAACAACTTTAATATTCCAACCTAAACCATCTTGAAGATAAATTATCCATAGTGATATTAATTATAACACAATTTCTTGAGAGTGCAAATCAAGTGCTTCATAAAATCATTCAGGTTCATTAATGTTAAAGTCTACACAATAAAAATTTCATGGAAATGCAGCATGCTCTAGCTGATCTTATTTTAAAGAGCAAATAAGACGTCAGTCAGTACTAGAGAAATGTATTTAATATAATATCCACTAGAAAAAGAAAGTCAGTGGCAAACAGTAGAAAGAACAAGTATATTACAGGACCTATATATGGATATATTTATTAAAATCATTTTGAAAAATGAATTAATGCTTGCTTCACTTCTCTCCTGGGGCTATTGTGTCAAAGAAAATAAAACATGAAGAAGGTGTGTGTTCAACAAGATAATGTCAAATATGGAGTATTTATTACCATTTTTATTATTAGTGGAAAAATCACTTGCATTTTTATGAATATTCGATGTTTAAAGGAATTTTTTTTTTGAAATTGATAACAGCTCCTGGAGAAAGAATTACATGGGTTGCTCTGTTTCTATGGGCAGGTGTTTCTTAACATTTTCCCCCGTTAGCCAACATTCACACACATAGACCCACACATACATAATTTCCATGACGATTTTAAGAAGACAATGTCTGTGACAGCTATTCTTGGAGTAAAAACAAGAAAGAGTGGGGAGGACTTTATCAGTGGAAAGAGGCAGTAATGGAGTTAATTGCTATGGGATAAAAACACCGGGAGCATTAAGCAAATGTCAGTTGTTAGTCAACCAAAATCGGAGGCAACAGATATTTTGCTTAGAGAAATAATAAGAAAGTAGTCAATTTTAGAGATTTTTAGAGAATTATATATATAATTATTACATATAAGAATTATATATAACATAATTATATAATTATAATATAATATTAATATAAATTAATTATATATTATACTACATAACTTATAATATAAATTATAATATAACATTAATATAAATTAATTATATATTATAATTAATATTGTATTATAGAATTGTGTTATATATAATTATATGTAATAATTATATATAACATACAATTCTATAATACAATAATATATATTTATATATTATATATCATATATAATAATTATATGTAAGTGACATGTATATATGGTCAATTCAAATGCTGAATCAGCCTAAGACAGATCCCAAGAGATTTTAATGCCCATATTTCGAAAATACAAATAAGCATTATTGCAAAAATAGCAGGTTAAAAAATAAAAACAGGAAGTCATCCTAGCATCATCACTTTAGCGAAAAGAACCATTTTGATTTAATTTTTCTTTCTCATTTCTATAATTTTATAAGATTAGGCAACATTTTTTACTATACAGTTATTTCATTTAACACTATAGTATGTACATGTTTCTATTTAGCTGCATAAGGCTTTATCTTAATACTTTAAAAGCATCATAATATTTAGAGTAGATAGTGTACAATTGAACTAACTATATTTGAATATAAATTAAGTAGTTTCCAGTTAGTTGATCAATTAATCATAAATCAATGTATTAGTTTGAAAGAAACCTTTAGAAGCTGCGATCCCTGACATTATTTTTTTTAACCTAGCACTGAGGCTATTTGCAGCGACAGTGCTCCTTTGTGATGCAATTTTTCTATTGAACACATTAAATATTCACTTATCATTTGTTTATTCAATACGTTTTTGAGACTACTGAAGGTACTATTAACTAGAGAAACAATGATGAAAAAATTAAAAGCCCATGGAAATGAAGGATCAAATCTTCCAGTGAGCAGAGAGAAGATAACAGTAAACAGACGCATTGTGATTATGGATAGACCTAAGAGTTTTGAAGAAAATAAATATGAACATATGAATAAGAGTGAAAGAATGATTGAGATGAACTTTAGAAGTATTGATAAGGAGACACTTAAACTTTTTCTAGGAGAACCCTACCTCCCACATCTACCTTCTCAATTTAAAAATGATATAAAACTACCTATTTTTTGTACCCTTAGACTGTGCAGAAGAATAGAAGGTAATAAATAGCCCAAGCAGGACTATTCAGTCACAATTTAGAAGTGAATTAGTGTTATGACTATAGTTCCTTGGAAAAATATTTTAAAAATAAGAAGCCAGTAATCCCAGAGTACCAATGGTGCAATGGTCCACCATTGCAATGGTGCAAGGGGGTCAGAGCTAGAGCCACAGAGCAGGTGGGAAGCCCTGGTTATGTTGCCCTGAGGGCTGAGAAGCTGGGGTGGGGGCACCCATCCAGGGGCGAATGCACGTAGGTGGTGCCCAGGCCCCTCCCCCTGCCCGGGGCCTGTCCATCTCCCTAGGGGCCACCAAGGCCTGAAACCCAGAGACACGACACCTGATCATCACACCCAGGCTTCCCTGCCCAGGCTAGAATACCCAGTGCAGGCAGACGTTCTGGGCTTGTGGCCGGGACAAGGGCGGGGGTCCCACTGGGTAGGCCTATGTCCCCAGACTCAGCTGGGATGATTGACCCACCACTTGTCATTCTGCCAATGTGCAGCTTAGATATGAGGGCCCAGATGCCCACTCTGGCCACACCAATCATGCTCCCCAGCCAGGCCCAATTCTGCTCATCTCACCTAACCTGGCCTCACATGCCCAGTGCCCACCAAGATCCTGCCAGCCAGAAGGGCCCATGCTCATCTAAAGCATCTACATGTGCCTGCATCCCATAGGCACTCACAGCTCAGGGACAGCCCCTGTGGACCCCAGTGGTCAGGCAGTGTCCTGGCCTAACCTCCAGCTCTTAAGTCCTGGCCATCATGTCTTTTGGGGACCACCAAGCACTGGCCATTGACGGCCCCAAAGAAGGCAGAGAATGGGCTGGTCATGGCAGCCTCAGGCCTGGGCCCTGGCCCCAGGGAAACAGCTCGTTAGTTCTGATTTGGACGGGACATTGACAATAGGTCAAGCCATATGCACAAGTATTCTCTGCAATCCAGTACAGCAGGAAGTTGGGGGACCCAGTGCAGCCCCCAGGCCAGCCGTGCACAGTGGTTCCAGCAGTGTGGGGTGGGGAGTGGGGAAGGGTCCCATACTCAGCCAAAAGCTGAATCCTGACCTGCTCACCCACCCTGCAAAAGTACCCTGGACTTCAGGCAGAGGCAGGCAGCAGAGTTGCCATCTCCTGGGATCCCATTCAGGGCCAACAGAGGCCTGAGAAAACTCAGGGGCTGAGCTGGGGGGAATCAGGCTGGGAGATGCCAAGTGAAGGGTGGTGTGCATCCAGGCATGACTGGTAATAAGAGTTCAGGGTCTAACTGACCCTGAAAAGGTGACAACAGGACAGAGGCCAGCTGAGCCCCTCCACACCCTAACAGCTACCAGGCACATATGGTGCTCAATTCCCCAGAGGCCCCAGGAAGGGCTCTTTCTTAATCAGTAAAATGGGGGCCCCACCAGCACCCACACATGCGGTGGTGTCCACGCACACCAGAGAATGAAACTCCTGCTGTGCTGATGTGGGGGACAAATATCCCTGTCCCCACATTCCCCAGCGTCATCCCCACATGGTGTTGAGCTTGGGGTGCCCAAGACAACAGCCCACTGATGCAGCAGCCCAAGGGATGCTGTGTCCTGGAGGGACCTGCGGGACCTAGAGGGCATTTCAGTCAGAGAATCTCCCTGAGTTTGTCATTCAATGGCCCTATGCCTCAGTTTCCTCCACTATGACACAAGGGAGAAATCCCACCCCACAGAGCTAGGGACCCAGTGAGGCCACCACACCAGGTTAAATGGCTGGAGTGTACAAAAGCTGGGCTGAGGGTACTTGCCCTGGGTGTCTCGCCCTGGGACTGAGGTCCACCAGTCCATGGCCAGGCCAGCCTGTTGGGGAGGTCTCCCAGTTCCAAGTCCCTGCAGTTGAGGCCCCCAGCGCATTGGGGGAGGCACAGGGTGGGATGGAGTGGAACGAAGTCCCATCATAAGAGCCCTGGGCAGACCTTAGGGAACAAGTATTAAACTGAGACTCGAGTCCGAAGCCGGCTCCGCCGTTTGGGGTGACATGAGTTCCAGGGCCAGGGAACAAAGCGTTCTGGTTTTAGACCTGCAGGAAGATCTGTGAAGCGCTCTTGGGCAGGGCACATGTTGCCGGGTATGTGCTTGAAAAGAGCCTAAGAAGAGGGGGAGTCTGGAAGGAACTGCGATGCCAAGGGAGAGGGTCCAGCCTTCCTGCTTCAGCACCTGGGCTCATTCAGCAAAGTTTCCTAAGAAAGCCAGAAAAAAAAAATGAGTATGGGTCCCATACTCAGCCAAAAAAAAAAAAAAAAAAAAAAAAAAATTCCAAAGGCCAGGAGGGCTAATGGGACTTTACTGGGACTATCTGGCCTAATCCTACAAACAAGCCAGCCATAGTAGCCCATCAGTCCTCTGGGACGGGTGAGGAACCTGAGATGGTAGGAGGGCCCCCAGAAGGTCCAGGCAGAGCCCCCTAGGACCCCACACCTTCCCCCGTGGCAGCTCTAACCCCAGCTTTTTCACTAGTAAGGCACTGGGGCTGCTGGGCCATGCCCGCTCCCCAACGCGGGGAAAGAGCTTCGCGCTGCCGCCTGGCTAGGGGCAGGGGCGCCGCCCTCCCGCGGCTCCGGAGCTGGCCAGGGGAAGCGCCCGCGGGGTCCGGGAGCCTGGCTACGCGTGTGCACCTGCTCCTGCCCTCGCCGTGGCCTCTGCCAGGACCCCGACGCTCCGCCGGACCCTGTCCTCCAGCGTGGCTGCGGCCCCATGGCCTGCGACAGCCGCCCCGTCCGGAATTCGGCGCCCTCCCCGGGGCAGAGGCCGCGGCGTCCTCAGGCTGTAGCGCCGGCCTGCGACCCCCACGCCTGGCTTGGGACCCAGAGGAGGAGGGCCTGCATCCCGGGGAGGGCGACCGGTCACCTGGGCTGGGAGGGCGGCGCAGGGGCGGAAGCGGCGGTCCGGGACAGTCTGGCTCTGCAGCCTCTCCCCGCCGCGGTCCGTCTAGTCCCTCCCTGGCGGCTGCGGAGCCCTCCCAGGACAGGGACCACAAACTCTCCAGAGCGGGAAGCCGTGACCTGGCGAGGCTGCCACAGGGACCGCTCGAGATCCGAACCGCTCAGACCTGGCGGCCGCTGGCGGCTGACCCACTGCGCGGGTTTCCGTAGAGCTCGCTGTCCACCCGGCCCTGCGGCCTCGGCTCTTGCGTGTGCGCTGTGGTGGGTCCCTGCTAGGGGCGACCCTATGGGCCAGCTTCCCACGCCTGGTCCCCAAGCCGCACCCACCCTAGCTCCCTGGGCTAGGGGACTGGCTCCTCCTGGGGGCCGTGCGGTGGGAGGCAGGGGCGTTAGGGGAGAGGGAGGGGTCGAGGGCAGCCCCTGCTCTG